>NC_000006.12:8090303-8241818 GCF_000001405.40 Homo sapiens
AAATATTAATGTAAAAAACAGTAATAATAAAGTTAATTATCATATCATGACTTAAAAGATTTAGGCTACTAGAAAACAAAATATTGCCATTTAATAAATTTACTCTTTGACATTAATATTCATTCAAAATCACAAATAATACGCCAGTCACCTCATTTTAAAAAAATTGGCTAAACATTACTAGTCTTAAATAAACAAGAAAACATTAGAAAATGATATTCAAAGTGCCATCTATGATCATGTTAAAGTCTAGCTTTTTGTTTTTGGAAACATTTTGTTACTCATGCTCATTAGTTACACTTATTTTTTCCATTAAAATACAAAAATTCCCCAACAATTTCAATCTCTTTAGAGAATTCTAAGAAACTCTATATCCATGAAACAATAATTCACCCATTTCCCCTTGCCTCTAGGTCCTGGCAACCACGATTCTACCTTGTTTCTATGAATGTGACTACTTTAGATACCTCATATAAGTGCAGTCATAGACTATATGTACTTTTGTGACTGGCTTGTTTCACTGAATGTAAAGTTCCTCCATGTAGCATGCAGCACATGTCAGGATTTCCTTCTTTTTTAGGGCTGCATAATATTCCACTGTATGTACAGATCATATTTTATCGATTCCTGTGTCTATAGACATAGTTGTTTCCACTTCTTGGCTACTGTAATGCTGCTGTGAACAGGAGCGTACAAACATCTCTTCAAAACCATGCTTTGAATTCTTTTGGGTATATACTTACAAGTACAATTGCTGGACCATATGGTAATTCCATTAATTTCTTGAGGAAGTGCTATTCCTGCTTTTCATAGCAGTTGCACATTTTACATTCCCACCAACAATGCACAAGGGTTACAATTTCTTCATATCCTCACCAACACATGTTGTGTTGCTCTGTGGGATTTTTTTTGGTAGTAGCCATCCTAATGGGTGTGAGATGATATCTCACTGTAAACATGATCTACATTTCCCTAATGATTAGTGATTCCAGCATCTTTTCATATGCTTGCTGGCCACTGGTATATCTTCTTTGGCTAAATGTATACTAAAGTCCTTTGCCACTTTTGAAATCAGGATATTGGGTTTGTTTGTTGCTGAGCTGTAGGAGTTCTTCACATATTCTGAATATTAACCCCTTAACAAACATATGATTTACAAATATTTTCTCCTACTCTATGGGCTGCCTTTTCACTCTGTTGTCTCCTTTGATTGTGTCCAGAAATGTTTAATTTTGACATAGTCCAATTTATCTATTTTTACTTTTGTTAGAGGTATTTTCTGGCAGAACAGCATGAATACGTCAATTTCCTGAGATGGAAAATGTTGGCTTCTCTTAAAATTAACACTTAATTTAGCAGAACAGGAATTTACATTGAATTATAGTCAATTAAGTGAAACAACAGATTCATAAAACCTTCAGAGAAAGGTTTTGTAAATGAGTTATATGAACTATTATTAAATATTCTTTGAGGCTCCTCTAAGGACTAGATATAAAAAACTGTCCAGTGATGAACAGCATTTATTCTAGAAGAATTCCTTAAACTATAGAGAGGGCATTTTGTTCCGATTCTCAAATCACATCTGTCTTAGTCCACTTGGGCAACTATAATAGAATACATAGACTGGGTGGCATGTAAACAAAAGAGATTTATTCCTCACAGTTCTGGAGGCTGGAAGTCTAAGATGAAGGTGATGGCAGATGCAGTGTCTGGTAAGGGCTTGCTTCCTGGTTCACAGGCAGCTGTCTTTTCACTTGGTGGAAGGGGTGAGGTCTCTCTCAGGCCTTTTATTAGGGCAATAATTCCATTCATGAAGGCTCTGCCTCCAGGACCTAATCACCCCCAAAGACCCCACCTCCTAACTCCATAACTTTGGGGGTTAGAATTTTAACATATAAATTTGGGGAGGGGGAGTCAACCATTCAGACCATAGCAACATCCCAAAGTATCTGGAATATAGTGGTTCAGCAATCAGTAAAAAATGTTTGCAGAATATAGTGGTTCAGCAATCAATAAAAAATGTTTGCAGAATTGAATTTAATCTCTTTGAGTTTGCAAACAAAGTTAACATGATACATACTCAACATGAAGATAATGATGAAGACCTTTATGATAATCTACTTCCACTTAATAAAGAGTAAACACATTTTCTCTGACGATTTTCATTTAAAGACAGTCAGTCATTTTCAAAATGGTATATGAATATGAGCCCCTAAAGGTGGTACAGATAAGAACATAAAGGAATATGGACACAAATGAGACAGGCATGGAAGAATCAAAATAAAATTTGGCTGGAAAGGGTAGAATGTATTGGTATATTAGGGACTACCACTTAAATTTTATGGTACTCTGTTGAATGGAGATGATTTCTCTCCAAATATCTTCAGAGAAATCAACTTTGAGAAAGTACAAGAAATAAAATATCTTCATTAAATTTCAAATAAAATAAATACATCTTCATTTAATTTCAAGAAGTATTTAAAGACCTGAAACAATAACAGTTTTGTATATTTTTTCCAAAAACAGAATCTATATCCGTGTTTTGTGTTTTAGTGATAAAGACTGCTTTTTTTTTTTTTTTTTTTTTTTGAGATGGAGTCTCACTCTGTTGCCCAGGCTGGAGTACAGTGGCGTGATCTGGGCTCACCACAACCTCTGCCTCCAGGGTTCAAGCGATTCTCCTGCCTCAGCCTCCTGAGTAGCTGGGACTACAGGCACACAACATGACTGGCTAATTTTTTGTATTTTTAGTGGAGACAGCGGTTTCACTATGTTGGCCAGGCTGGTCTCAAACTCCTGACCTCGTGATCAGCCTGCCTCGGCCTCCCAAAGTGCTGGGATTACAGGCGTGAGCCACCGTGCCCGGCCAAGACTCTTAAAAATGTAGTTTTTATAAACTATGATTAGGTAATATTTTCTGGGTTCATGATATAAATAAAATCTTTACTACCAAAAGACAGAGTTTCACACACATTCAAAATATTCACAGATGAGAACTAATTATGTCTGACATTCGCTTCCTTTTTTTTTTTTTTTTTTTACAATTCTTTCTGATGCCATTGTCAAACTGTTAAATACTTCCCCTACAATTCCACCTGATTTTTCTTTTTCCTTCCATCTATTAAATTTTCTAATAATACAAAAAAGTTGAAAAAGCAGTAAAATAAACAACTATATACCCTCCATCTAGACTCAACAAATGTTAGTGTTTTGTAATGCCTGCTTTTTGAAATTATATACTACCTTATTTATGAGGCATTTAAACTTAGCATTGTGGTTTTATGGTTTTACCACTGAAATGGCACTTTGACAAATAAGAATTAAACCCTTTCATAATATCCTAAAAGGAAGAGTTTTAAAAATAAATAATAAAAACCTATACAGCCCAGTACAAACACAGGCAAGGAATACATGTAAGTGAATTTTTAAAAATAATAAAATAGCTAATAAGCAGTATGAAAACGACACATTAATAATTGTATTAAAAAAAAAAGCAAATAATTTTTTTTTTTGAGACACAGCCTCGCTCTGTTGCCCAGACTGGAGTACAGTGGAGTGACCCTGGCTCACTGCAACCTCCGCCTCCCAGGTTCAAGTGATTCTCCTGCCTCAGCCTCCTGAGTAGCTGGGACTACAGGTGCGTGCCATCACGCCCAGCTAATTTTTCTGTTTTTAGCAGAGATGGGGGTTCCACCATGTTGGCCAGGCTGATCTCGGACTCCTAACCTCAAGTGATCTGCCTGCCTCGGCCTTCCAAAGTGCTGGGATTTCAGGCGTGAGCCACCGCATGCGGCCTCAAACGAATAATTTTTAAATTTTCTTGTTTTGGTAATTAAATTGGGGTAGTGAAGGAGAAAGAGGTAATACCATGTTAGTTTTGTGGAAGAGGCCACTCTTATATGCTATGATACTATAATAATGTACTTTTCTGGAGGACAAATGAGCAACATAGCTTTAAAAATATATAGCTTTTAGCCTAGCAGTTTCTCTTGCAGGAATTTAGCCTAAGGACGCCGGGTGCGGTGGCTCACTCCTGTAATCCCAACACTTCAGGAGGCCGAGGCGGGTGGACCACTTGAGGTTAGGAATTCGAGATCAGCCTGGCCAACATGCTGAAACCCCATCTCTACTAAAAATACAAAAAAAATTAGCTGGGTGTGGTGGCATACACCTGTAATCCCAGCTACTTGGGAGGCTGAGGCAGGAGAATTGCTTGAACCTGGAAGGCAGAGGTTGCAGCCTGTGTGACAGAGCAAGACTCTATTTAAAAAAAAAAAAAAAAAATTAGGCTAAGGAAACAAATGGGAATGTGCTCAAGTATTTAGCAACAATCTAGTAACTACCCAGGGATAGATAATTTAAATTGTGGTACAATTACAGCTTAAACCTTGAACAACGCAGGTTGGAATTGCACAGGTCCACTTAAACACAAATTTTCTTCTACCTCTGTCACCCAAGAGAGTAAGACAAACCCGTGCTCTTCTTCCTCCTCCTTAGCCTACTCAATGTGAAGTGAAGACTATGAGGATAAAGAGCTATATGACAATCCACTTCCACTTTATGAATAGTAAACGTATTCCCTCCGCCTTATGATTTTCTTAATAATATTCTTTTCTCTAGCTTACTTTAAGAATACGGTATATAATACACATAAAATACAAAATATGTATTAACTGACTTTATGTTACAGGTAAGGCTTGCAGTTAACAGTAGGCTATTAGCAATTGAGTTTTTGGGGAATCAAAATTATACATGGATTTTCAACTGCTCAGGGTGTCATTGCCCTGCACTGTTTAAGGGTCAACTATATATGATGCAACGCTAACATGTTATTAAAAGGAGAGTGTAAGTGAATACTTGTTGATGTAAAAAGGTGTTGACAACACATTGTCGGTGAACAAAAAAACAGTTTACTGGCCAGGCGAGGTGACTCACGCCAGTAATCCCAGCACTTTGGGAGGCTGAGGTGGGCGGATCATTTGAGGTCAGGAGTTCGAGACCAGCCTGGCCAACATGATGAAACCCTATCTCTACTAAAAACACAAAAAAACGAGCCATGCGTGGTGGTGCACACCTGTAATCCCATTTACTCGGGAGGCTGAGGCACGAGAATCACTTGAACCCAGGAGGCGGAGGTTGCAGTGAGCCAAGATTACGCCATTGCATTCCAGCCTGGGTGACAGAGTGAGAACCTGTGACAAAAAAATAAAAAGAAACAAAACAAAACAAAACCAACAGGTTACCATGCCCAGTAGGTGCCTGTTTTTTTTTTTTTTTAATACATGCACACATATATACAAAAGGAAAAAAAAGGCATAGAAAAAACACAAAAGGGGTTTAATAAATATCTGATGGCCAAACATAAGCATTAATAGTTCTCTCTTGTTGGTGGGACTATGGATGTTTCAAATGTCCTCCATTTGCTTATTTCTACTTCCTAAATTCTGTAATATTTACTGCTTTTAAAATAAAAACAATACTGTCTTAAAATAGCAAAACAAAACAAATCAACCCTTTTCTCATCTGTGCATGTGGCCAAAATCACATTGCAATCCACTCTATGTACAATCGGTCTCACCCACCAGTCTGAGTTCTATAAGGGCAGAAACTGTGTCTAATGCACCACCAGCCCTTAGAACTGCATCCTGGTGCACTGCAAGCGTTTATATAGTAGGTGCAGATGAGCAAACTGCGGTCAGACAAGGAAGACAATGCAAATTGTCCAGCTCCACATATATTTCAAAAACAAGAACATCTTAAATCAGAGGCTCCCAATTAAATATTTACATGTCTCAGAGATAACACTTTGGAAGTTATTTCTATGCTTCTAATACCACATCTATTAATATAACTTTTGAATCTTATAAACCCAATTCATTGAAATTCTGTTCCTATCTTTCGGAATCAAGTACTTCATTACTATCCTTTCCCTTGGAAAACTGTAAAAGATGGTTGTGTTCACTTGTTATTTGCCTGAAATCTCACATTCACTTGGAGGGAGGATATGACTGCTTCCCCCTGGAAATGCTGTGAATAGTAGGGGCACAAGAGAAGGGTCCCTGTGAATGACCAATATGGTATTAAGAATAAATGGTTGATCACAACAGACATACAAAGGGCCAAGTTCTGAAACTGACTTTGTACCAGTTCTCTTGATGGCATCTATCAAGAACACAGTTTGAGCCATTTTCCCCAAAGTGATAAAGGAAGACCTTTCTTGTACAACTTACATTGCCAGGATATAACAATCAGAATAAAATTA
The DNA here is from genome assembly GCF_000001405.40 of Homo sapiens. Classification (NCBI taxonomy): domain Eukaryota; kingdom Metazoa; phylum Chordata; class Mammalia; order Primates; family Hominidae; genus Homo; species Homo sapiens. Next base: position 8,096,566 of record NC_000006.12, read on the forward strand.
AGAAACAGAAGGAATTCCTACAGTGATATGCTGTTGTCTGAATAATCTCTAGGTTTCTTTCAAATTTAAAGCTTCAACAAAATCTTAAAATCTGCCTTCTTTTTATATAAATAAATTAACAAAAATAACTTCATTTGGAATTTTTTTTTATTCTTGGTAACTCTGAAGCTATATCCAGTAGATTATTTTATTATTTGATGCCTTTGAAAATAAAAATTTAAAGCAATGATTCTCAAAACAGGGAAAGGTGAGCTTTCCCAGATCAGACAGTTTTTTTCAAACTAAACCCTAAAAGATTCTGCTTCTCTCTTGCCTCTGAGAAAGTACTTTACCCCTTAGAGAATCGGGATTGTCGAGTGGGGCATCACATCAAAAAAACAAAAAAAGTCATATAATACTGTAATTATTGACTATGACAAGGGTCCTGAAGGAAAAGCACAGGGTGCTGTGACTGCATATAGAACAAAGAACCTCATCCAGCTGAGAGAGAAGTAGTCAAGGAAGTTTCCAAGGCAGCATATCTTGGAGGGGCTGGTGGGGGGAACAGAGTCTGTTCCAGGCAGAGGGAATAACAGATGCAAACTACTGAGGCAGAAGGAAAGAGGTGAAGAAGGCCAACAGCTACAGCTTTTTAATCTCAGGGGAAAGAGATTTCTGATTAACAGTTCATGCATTTCAGCCTATAAGAGAAGTCACGATACCTTCAACAGTGTGTGGATGTCATTTTTACTGGAGTGCCCATCTACTTGAGTGACCCTGTATTCTAACCACTGCTGAACGATTGCTTTTTCTTCTGCAGTACTCCCCAGCAAATATTCTTTGTTGGCTTGCTTGACTAGATGAGCTGCTATAGTAGTCAATCCTGTTAGACTTGGACCATTGTTTGTCTGAAGAACTGGAATCTTAAAAAGAAAAAAAAGTTCACAGAATTTAAAAAACAAGGACCACATCATGATTATAACTTCTAAGTAACCACGAAATCCCTCAAGTGTTTTTTGAAATAATCCTGGATTTTACTCTAAGATACTAAATTACATACAAATGAAAGTCTAGAAAATAACAGTTAAATAATTTACAATTTGTTAACAGATGCTTGATGATGAAACTGGTAATAACATTGCAAAAATCCGTATAATATTACTACAATAATCAGTATAATATTACTACAATAATTTTAAACTATGTACAATGAGAGAAAATGGAAACTCTAATTATACTGTATTAATTTCAATCAAGTTTACCTGCACCCTATTATATAGCAAAGTGAACATACTTAAATAAACCTGACTTCATGTTTCCCCTATTACGACAGCAATATAAAGGATCAGGTTTGCTTGCTTATAAGAAATTGACAATTAATTTAAATTTTATTGATACACAAATAAGGACAATGCATTATGAGAAATGTAAAAGAAAATGGAAAGTATTACCTAATGGGAAGACTGACCAAACACAAATAACAAGTATACAATCTCAATGACTTAAGTAAATGAAAAAAGAATTGTTTTTTTGGGAAGACTGCTGCTCTTCTTAGCAATGAAATAGAAATAGTATCTTTTTTTTTTTTCATTTGAGACGGAATCGCACTCTGTCACCCAAGCTGGAGTGCAGTGGCATGGTCTCGGCTCACTGCAACCTCTGCCTCCCGGGTTCAACCGATTCTCCCACCTCAGCCTCCCAAGTATCTGGGACTACAGGCACGTGCCACCACACCCGGAAGTTTTTTGTATTTTTAGTAGAGACGGGGTTTCACTATGTTGGTCAGGCTGGTCTGGAACTCTTGACCTCGTGATCCACCCACCTCGGCCTCCCAAAGTGCTAGGATTACAAGCGTGAGCCACCGCGCCCGGCCGAAATACTATCTTGTTCTCTATAGTGATTTATACTTTGCAAGGCATTTTCATACATCTACATCAACACGACTTGGTGAAGTATACAAGGAGATTAATACTCTACAGGATACAGATTCAAAGTAAGGAGGTAACTTCAAAGTAAAGGAGGTAAAATTCTTTTCACTTTCCATTCACTATTCATAGCTCCTTGACTTCTCACTTTTGTCTTAAATTCAAATGAAACCACAAGCTCTAAGATCACCAATAAATTAAATGTATTGAAAGAAAACAGTATGGAACCCTCCGAAGGGTGCCAGTAATGTTCTACTCCTTGACTGGGTGGTTACCTGAGTGTGTGAACTTGGTGGTAACATCAACATGTGTGTACTGAATGTATGGTATATTTTGAGGAAAAAAGAGAAATCAAGGGACTCACAACTGCTGGGCGGAGGGGACACAACCAACTCTAAAGAGAATTATTTGTAAAAATAAATTATCCACAACCCAAGCATGCTCTCAAAAAAATTCCCAGTTACGTTCTCATCTAATCATTACATCTTCTAAGATAAGGTAAGTCATCTCATCCTCATTTTACAGATAATAAAAACCAAGGTTGCTTGGTTTGCAATGGCAGAGCCAGGGTTTGAATAAAGTCCTATTGGCTTAAACGTCCATTTTCTTTCCTTTACATACCCTAAAATACACAATTCTTATGAGACACATACTATTTTCACATTCATTTTAAGGTTCCATAGTCTTCAAAGTAATGACTTTTAATGGCTGCATATGCAATAGCGTGCAATGCATAATGATATTCTGGTCAACGATGTTCTGGATGGCATATCCAATGGTGCTCCCTTAAGATTATAATCAAGTATTTTTACTGTACCTTTTCTATGTTTCAGTATATTGAGATGCATAAATACTTACCATTGTGTTACAACTGCCTACATTATTCAGTACAGTAACATGCGGTACAGGTTTGTAGCCTGAAGGAGCAATAGGCTATATCATATACCTACTATTTGTGAAGTAGGATAAACTATCTAGGTTTAAGAACACTCTAAGGCTGGGCGCAGTGGCTCACGCCTGTAATCCCAGCACTTTGGGAGGCTGAGGTGGGCGGATCACCTGAGGTCGGGAGTATGAGACTAGCCTAACCAACACGGAGAAACCCCGTCTCTACTAAAAATACAAAAATTAGCCGGGCGTGGTGGCACATGCCTGTAATCCCTGCTACACGGGAGGCTGAGGCAGGAGAATCCCTTGAATCCGGGAGGCAGAGGTTGCAGTGAGCCGAGATCGCACCATTGCACTCCAGCCCGGGCAACAAGAGTGAAGCTCCGCCTCAAAAACACACACACACACACACACACACACACACACACACACACAAAAAAAAAACAGAACCCTCTATAATGTTCACACATGATGAAACTGCCTAACAATGCATTTCTTGAAATGTATCCTTGTCTTTAAATAACACGTGACTGTATGTCAATGTGTTGATGTACCATAATTTAAAGAATCAATATCCTAGATAAGGATCTCTGAACTGCTTTCAATTTTTAAACTATGATTGGTAATGTTGCAGAGAATGCCTTATTGCTGGCTCACTGCTGTCAGCTGTCTTCTCAAAAAATGGCTGAATCTTATCACATATGGCCAACCCTTTCCCCATACAAGTAAACAGAAACTTTCACTAGCTGCTAACTGCTAAAATGCTTTAATTAAAATTAAATTAAAAACCACACTCTGAACTCGGAAGTCTTCACAGTTGGGCCTCAAACTGTAATTTGGGGTTTACCTTGCATTGCATCATTCCTCATATTGGTTTACTTACTGCCCTAAACTTCCCAATCCTTCATAATTTATTGGTTTTACACATCTTTCAAAGCATAATCCCTTAAATGCCAGCTCTTCCATGAGTTTATACATCCACTTTTATAGTCAGAATTAACTTCCTTTTTCACACTCCTCAACAGTGTTTTGCTCCATATGGAGTCCTAATTAGGGAAAAGAAGTCAGGTTGAGGGGACCAAGGGAAAGCAAAAAGAGAAGGGCGATAAGCTACAAGTCTGCCTTTCTTCATGGTCCAGGACACAGCCCTTCTGCACAAATAACTCAACAATCTTTCCATGTCCAGCTATCACCGGACCTTCGGCTGATAGAAAACTCAAGTTAGCTCACTGCAACCTTGGTGTTATCAGTACTGCACAAACCCCTCTTCAGCACACAACTGAAGTACTATTCCGTAAAATCCCCAGCCAGCCTTTGTTTCCTTGCAGTTAGCTCCTCTCTTACTAACTTGCCTGTTGCACTCTTGCAACATATTTTCATACTTTCTCTAATAAATCTGCTTTTCTTTACGTACAGCTGTCCTGGTAAATTCTTACCCTGGCGCCACCAGCCCCAGAGAGTTGCTGCTCACCCACGACAGTCCATGAAGTGCTTACTATGTTGTGCTTTAAATTATTTGCTGATGATTGTTTCTCATACTAGATAATACTCATATCTTGGCAATGGTCCCTAAAAAATATAAACTAGGCCAGGCACAGTGGTTCACGCCTGTAATCCCAGCACTTTAGGAGGCCAGGGCATGTGGATCACCTGAGGTCACCAGTTCAAGACCAGCCTGGCCAACATGGTGCAACCCGGTCTCTACTAAAAATACAAAAATTAGCTGAGCGTGGTGGCGAACACCTGTAACCCCAGCTACTTGGGAGGCTGAAGCAGAAGAATCGCTTGAACCCGGGAGGCAGAGGTTGCAGTGATCCGAGATCATGCCATGGCACTACAGCCTGGGCGACACAGTGAGACTTTGTCTCAAAAAAAAAAAAAAAAAAATATATATATATATATATATATATATATATATATATATATGGCACTCTTCCAATTTAAACGGTTGCAATGTTTGTCCACTCGGCCATATATATTATATTTATACTACATATATATTATATAATATATACACTAAGCTAGGGAGTAGGGGCCGAAGGGACGGAATTATCACTGGGGCAGAGGAAACACCAAAAGAAGGCCACTTTGGCTCCAACGCCTACTCTGCCACCAATCACAGGGCTGATCTTAGGCTGAACACTTAACCTTTCTAGGCTTCAGGTTAACTTAAATAAAAACTATACTACTACTTTCTAGACAAGATCTTCACATGGACCAAATGAAGAAGAGAAAAAATTAAAGACAAAAACCAAACATCATTTGGAAAAAATCTCAAAGGAGCAAAAAAAACATATATCCAAAGTAGTCTTCCTACAACCAATTTCCTTCTCTAATACATTCCTTCTACGACAAACAACTATAAAACACAAACGTTCTAACAGTGCCTAACCAGGCAATCTCATACCTTGTGATGTTTCCCGCATTCACTGTGGGTCGTAACACTTAAACTGATAATCCAAGGCTTTAGAAACGCCTTCCCCGAATCCCCTAGATTGGGCCAAGACTCCTTAGGTGTTCTCTCTGCCATTTATGGTGCAACGTGGCACTCTTCCAATTTAAATGGTTGCAATGTTTGTCCACCTGGCCAAAAAGCAAGCTGCCTGAGAGGAGGAAGCATGTTCCCCTAAATCATCATTGTATTCCCCAGACCCAGCACGGTGCTACCTGGCACCCTGTTAGCTATAACGGAGTCGCTGCGCAATAACTGAATGAAAGGTGCGATTACGGGAAAAAAAAAAAAGCCAGTTACTGAATACATTCCAGGTTGGTCTAAGAGCCCTGTGAGGACCCTCCTCCAACTGGTTTTGTTTCCTCATAATGGGATGATGACAATTTCCCAGGAGGTGAAGTTCAGGCCAAGCCCAACCTGAGCTGGTTAACCCCTCCCTCCAGGAGGTAGGATGGCAGGGGCCGAGGCCCAGAGGCGCCAGCCGGCTAGCGGCGCAGACACGTGGGGAGCTGGGTAGCAGCATCCTCACTCCGCCCGTATCTGGTGGCCGGCCCGGGTCCTGCCAGGGCTCGGCAGGCCCCGCTCCCGTCCACCTCTTCCCCTCCGCGCCGCCTCTCCTTCTCACCTGTCGCTCGCCCTGAGCACTGTATTTATTCCCCTTACTCAGTCCCAGGGACTTCTCCAGTAGCGACAACTCTGCGGCCGCCGCCATCTTCCGGCCGTAGCTCCTGGCAGACGCGAGACCTGCAGAACAAGAACCTCCCGCATTGGTGGAAACAGAAGTCCCACTCCTGCAAACTTCAGCGGCGATTGGCTGAACGGAAGGGGCGTGGAGAGCGCGCGCCAAAGCACAGGAGGCGGGGCCGGTGGAAGGGGCGGGGCTGAGGGCGGGGTGTGAGACAGGTGGAGAAGTGATGGTAAATTTCCACTCGAACTGTTGGGGAGCTAGTTACTGGTAGAAAGGCCCCAAGGCCGGGCTTCGGTGGCTGCAGTAGACTGGATCTGGATCTCTAAATGGCAATCTATTGACATGGCTGCCAGCGGTAACTCGTTAACTCATTTGCTAGTCTAAGAGAATTTATATATGATGGGAACTGAAATTTGCCTTAGTTTGGTTCAGGAATCTGTAAATTTGAACAATCAAATTGAATAGCAAAAAGTTCACAGTCCATTAGGAGTTTCTAACGTGTAGCATAATTCATGAGGATTTTAATTGTGTTGTAGTGGTGAATTCGAAAAACTGGTTTTTCTACTGTTGATCTACAGCTCAACACTAGCAGTAGAATTATACATTTAAAGATTATTCACAGAACACGGAGTATGTCAGATAGGGGTCAAATAATTACAGCTCAAGGAAATAAGCCATTAATGGCATTAATGATCTTTTTTTGCAGTACCAGAAGGCTGGTTACATAATTTATGAAGTTTTGGTATATAAATAAACAAGGTGCATAACTTTGCCCCACTAACTTGCTACATTCTTGTATCTTCAAAAAAGAAAGAAAGGAAGAAAGAAAGAAAATTAGTAGTATATGTTGAATATTTCCAAAAGATTTGTGAAAATACAAAATATTTTCCACTTTGAAGAATGAATAAACAAAGTGTGTATTAGTCTGAGAGAAATAGAACAATCCTACAAGGTAACTCATCATTGAATCAGAAATATCAAAGTTTAGTGGGGAATGTTGTTACTGTGTTACACCTTCCCTATCCCAGAATACTTAATGAGTTTACTCTGTCAGCAGAAGTAAACATAAGGAAAAGAAACTTTTGCCAAATCAACATAACAAAATACAAAAGAAATTTCAGTATAAGTGGATTGTTAGGCACTAAATTATCTGTTTTACTTTCCATATTCAGATAATGGAATGACTATTCTACTACTTTTTAAAAGACCAACCCTCTAAGATAATTCACATATCCATTTTCAGGGTTTAGGTACACTTTTTGCTTGTAATAAAACATTTTTTAAAAAAATTAACATTTATCCAATGCCAATGGGTGGTATATTGAAAATAAGGTTTGGCCTTTGCATAATTATAGAAATATCAAATTAAAAAAGAAATCCCTAAAAAACTGAAAGCAGAACAAAGCATATTGTACATCAAATTGATGACATCATCACCCAGTGTGGACCTCTTTTAAGTGACTTTATAGCACAGTCATTTAATTGTATACTCTTAGTAAGATATGCTTTAAGGACAAAATTCATGAAAACCTGTTTTTGGTTCTTTTTGTTTGTTGGTTTGGTTAGCATCTTGGCAGTGTCAGCATTGGTATGGTGCTGTATATGTACTGTGGAATAAAGCAAAGATGCAATCATGTGGTGTTGCTGGAAAGTTGGGTGTTTGGTGTTGCCCAAAAGAGGAGTTGTAAGGTAGATGAGGTTAAATCAAAACTTTCTGGTCCTGAATTTGAATTGTAATATCAATATGAACTTATGACGCTTTTATCTTAAGGAAAATGAAAAGTATTTCCTACCTAGCTCTGTTTACTTAAAAGGCCTAGAAACAAGGACAACTCAGTAGCAATGAGCACCCCAGCACCCAGATTCTGGTTTCAAATACTATTTCCCACAAAAAGAAATGGGGGCTCTTTGGAGACCGGCTGAATCCAAACCTTGCGGGGAGATCAGTCTGGACCATCTAGTTATAGTAGAAAGAAAAGAAAGTATCTAAGAGTAATGAGGGGAGTCAAAGGGTAGGATCAGATCACTTGAGGGTCAATAATAGTCATTACAAGCTGAGAGTCGATAAGAATAATTGCAATGAATTGAAACATGTTGAATATGTTTAAGTCTATGAGTTCATAATGATACTAAAAAAAAAACAAGAACAAAATCAAAATAACCCTCATTCGTTACCTTTGGAGGATACTAGAGATCCAATTCATTATTTTGAAAAAGGATAAAGAAAACACATGAAGAAACCAATATATTTTTTCATGATTATCCTATGTAAACTGTATCTCAGGGAAACTAAACTCTAATGAGGAAAAATGTCTTTATAGAATTCTAACTAATAAAAACAGAACAATAGAATATTATTGTTTTGCAGCTACGGATATAATAATGAATCTAGGTGACAATTATCAATAGCTATTCACATCATAAAAACAGAGACAAACAGACATAAATTGCTTCTGAGAGAGGTGTACATCATCACCCAGTCTTGCCAATCGAATCTGAATTTGACCAAGCCTTTTGATCTAACAGCCAATTTACAAGAAATAATAGCAGGAAAGAGGATCATGTTAAATGATGTCATGGAGATGCAATGAGCAAATTCTAGATCATGAAAACTATAGGACAAATGATCCAGTTGTTTCAACAAGTAAATTGCAAAGCAAAAAGAAGAGGCAGAGAGAAGTGAACCTGTAAGTTGAAAGCATTATAAGGGAACTGTCAACCAATTGCAATATATAAATCTTTTTTTCAAGTCTGGTTCCAACTAATAAACTGTTAATTTTTTTAAGTGGATTGTCACATCATGATTGTGGCAAATGTCTACTACATTCCATTTTATATACTATGGGTATTAAATTCCATGCCCAAATTCACATAACTAATAGATCTGTGCATGAATCATCTGGGGATTTAAAAAAAAATCCATGCCATACTGGAGATTCTGATTCACTTTATCCGGGGTGGGACTGGGTGCTATTATTATTATTTTTTTAATCCTCAGCTGAGTCTAATATGTGGCCAGGGTTGAAACCCCCTATGGCAGATGCAGAATTTCAACTCTGCTTCCTGGCTTTTAAATCCACACTGTTCTGATTTTCTAATGTCTCCTTTCTCTGTTGTTACGGTGAGCAGGTGCAAGCTTTACTTCACTTAACATTAGACATAAGAAAGAGGAGAAAGCTTATATTTTATTAGAAATAATCAATAAATGTATTTTTAGATGATCTACATATTTGATCTGAAATATCTATATCAACACAGCCTTACTCATAATAAAAGTAACTTGATGAATTGATTTTGTCAAATAGAACACTTCTCTAATCTGCTATTATCATAGTCAAGTTTTAAATCCACAGTACCTTAGGATATAAATTAAATGTCAAATGAAATTAATTTGGCAAGTGGAACATAAACTGGATGGCTTTTCTTTTTGGAGCATGCCTGACAGCTTTCTGTATGTCATATGGGCATCTGTTAAAATGAGCTGCATATGCCAGAAACTGTTACTGTATCAGATTGCTCTTAGCAGTGCCATCATCTGCAAATTTTCAGTTTTAGAAGAGTTTAACTTTCTATTTCAGAATATGATAGGGTTTTAAACTTAGGTGTGAATGATATTAAATATGTGGTAAATGAAGTGATGCAGGTGCTATGCATGCATTTTGTTCTCTCTATAGATACCTCTCATATCTATGTATGTCTTGCACTTACCACGCTTGTTTATTGAGCCATTACTATGCACCAGGCACTGTACAATGCACTGGGGACACATTGATGAACAACTCCCATCAAACTTAGAGTATCTTGAGAGGAAAGACACTAGAACAATTTTGCGATAAGGCAAAGATCAGGAAGTGGAAGGCATGATAAGAATGCAGAGAAGGCACCTGGCCAGGCGCGGTGGCTCACACCTGTAATCCCAGCACTTTGGGAGGCTGAGTTGGGTAGATCACGAGGTCAGGAGTTCAAGACCAGCCTGGTCAAGATGGTGAAACCCCATCTCTACTAAAAATACAAAAATTAGCCAGCTGTGGTGGTGGTGGGCACCTGTAATCCCAGCTCCTCAGGAGGGTGAGGCAGAGAATTGCTTGAACCTGGGAGGTGGAGGTTGCAGTGAGCCAAGATTGTGCCACTGTACTCCAGCCCGAGCAACAGAGTGAGACTCCATCTCAAAAAAAAAGATTGCTTCCAAGAGGTCATGGTGTTCAAGTTGAGACTTGAAGGATGAACAAGAGTTGGTCAGGTGAGTGGTGGGGTGGAAAACTGAGGGAGAGTTCTGAGCAATGGGAATTGCATATGCAAAGGCTGCAAAGTGGAAGAGAGCATGATTCTTTGGAGTAACTGTTCAGGCTAGACCGGTAAGCAGATGCTGGATTGGAAGGGTCCTTGAACGATGCCTCTAAAAATTTTTAGAGGCCTCTGGGCATCCTTTATTTTTGATGGTTAATTTTATGTGTCACCTTGACTGGGCTTCAGGATGCCTGGATATCTGGTAATACATCATTTCTGGGTGTGTCTGTCAGGGTGTTTCCAGAAATGATGAGCATTTAAGTTGGTGGACTGAATGAAGATGATCACCCTCACCAGCGTGGGTGGGCATCATCCCGTCTGTGAGGACCTGGATAAAACAAAAGTATGAGGGAAGGTGATATTTACTCCTGACCTGACTGCTGAGCTGGAACACTGATCTTCTCTTGCCCATGGTGCTCCTGGTTCTCAAGTCTTCAAACTCAGATGGGAATCTTTACCATTGCTGTCCAGCTCCCAGGCTTTTGAATGGTACCACCATGTATTAGTCCATTTTCACGCTGCTGATAAAGACATACCTGAGACTGGGCAATTTACAAGAGGAAGAGGTTTATGGGACTTACGATTCTGCGTGGCTGGAGAGCCTTCACAATCATGGTGGAAGGTGTAAGGCACATCTCATGTGGCGGCAGACAAGAGAAGAGAACTTGTGCAGGGAAGCTCCCATTTTTAAAACCATCACATCTCATGAGACTTATTCACTGTCATGAGACCAGCATGGGAAAGACACACCCCTATGATTCAATAACCTCCAACCAGGTTCCTCCCACAACACGTGGGAATTGTGAGAGTTACAATTCAAGATGAGATTTGGGTGGGGACACAGCCAAACCATATCACAGCATCTTTCCTGGGTCTCTAACTTCCAGACAGCAGATCACTGGACTTCTCAGCCTCCATAATTGTGTGAGCCAATTCTTATCTACAATCATTTATATACACCTATCTCTATGCGGAGGACAGAGTCTTGCTATGTCACCCAGGCTGGAGTGCAATGGTGTGATCTCATCTCACTGCAAACTCTGCCTCCCAGGTTCAAGCGATTCTCCTACCTCAGACTCCTGAGTAGCTGGGATTATAGGCACGCACCACCACGCCCAGCTAATTTTTTGTATTTTTTAGTAGAGACAGGGTTTCACCATGTTGGCCAGGCTGGTCTTGAACTCCTGACCTCGTGATCCACCCACCTTGGCCTTCCAAAGTGCTGGGATTACAGGTGTGAGCCACCATGCCTGGCCTCAGGTGATCTTTCTTAGCTGCCAATCTATTTGGTCACTCCTTCCAGAAAACATGCCTGTGGCTCTTCATGGCACTTAGAATTTAGTCCAGCCTCCTTTATCTGGGAGCTAAGGTCCTTTATAACCTGACCTCTGTTGACTTTTTCATGCTCACTTCTAGACACTTCCTGCCTGGCATTTTTTGCCCCAGCCTTGGCCATCTCCTCACAGCTCCTGGGAGCCCAAAATATTCTCTTGCCTCTGGGCCTTTCTGTCTCTGGTTCACTCCAGCAGGAATGCCCCGCTTCCTCTCTTAGGGCTGAATTTGAGCACTCATAACAGCCTTGGGAATGCTCCTGCCACAAGACAGACCCCACTGTGCTGAGGCTACCTTCTTGGTATCTGCCTGCCCTGGCCGGCATGCTGACTGAGCACACAGACTGCATCCTGTTTATTACTGAGTCATCGCACCAGGCACCAGCCTTGGAACAGAGTGATCACTGGATACATTCATTTGCCGAATGAATAAAGAATCATGCAAACATATGGAATGATGTGGAAAGCTAGGTCAATGGGTCAAAACAAGTAACATGAGAACTGTGAGGATATTACACAGTCTCATCTTTAAGCAAACATTAAACACCAAAAATTAAAAATCCCTTATCTGACGGTTGACCAGTGCAAATGAAAATGACTCAAAACTACAAGTCAGGAATGGACAACCAATGTACTGAAAGAAAAATCATTTTCTTTCGCTAGTCTCCCAAACATTCATTGATCCCCCAAACCACCTTCTCTGGGCTCAGGAAGTGGCCATTTATTACATTATCACCATCATCATCGCCATCGTCCTCATTCTCCTCCCTCTCGGCATCCGGCTGTCAAACACTTACTGATCACTGCTCTGTGCTGGACTCTGTTCTAAGCTCTTGTATTAACTCATGAATTATCACACCAGCCTTTGAAGCAGATACCATTGTTATCCCCATTTTATAGATGAGGAAATTGAGGCTCCAAGAAGTGTAAGAAAATGAATCTTCAGAGCATTACAGATAGAGAAATACCTTAGAAAAGAACAAAGTATCCCCCAGATTTTGAGTCCTGCCCCGACATCCTCTCTATAGCCTCCTAATTCTCCGACTCAGCGGCGACTCAATTTAGAACTCCAGGCTCATCTTGGGGGACTCCAGTTCATCAAGGCTTGGGTGGATCTTGGCTTGAGAGCCATGCTGGGGACCCTGCTGCACAGTGTCACTGAGATTGTTGCAGAGGAGGTGTGAGAGAGGAGCTGTCAGCACAGCTCCAACCACAGCCCTGGGGACAATGACAGCAGAGTCACAGGATTTTTAGCAGCAGAACGTCTTCTCCACACTCCCTGGAGGAAGGCTCAAGGGCGGAGCATGTCCTCGGTGCCACCCTTCAGGTGAAGAGTCAGCCTGGGGCCAGCATGCTGGTGACAGGCTAATTCTTTCTGTTCAAGAGCAGCACAGGCCATTGAAGGGACATGTGCCCCGAGAACTACTTCCTTTCAGACTCTGCTCAGGGTCACCTTCTCTCTGCAGACTTTCCTAATCCCTTCCTATCCTCACCCCCAACCCAGGCAGCGCTGGTCACTCTGTGTTTTGGGTTCTGCTGAACCCTGTATTTGCTCCCTACAAAGAAATTTGCCATACTTCATTGCACCTATTTATTCACATTTTGGACTCTTCCAAATAGACTCTAAATCACTTGAGATGCAACTGACACAGAGTAGGCATTCAATAATATTTCTAGAATGAGTGAATGAAGGTTAATGAATAGTAATCATTGGGGCAAAATATTAGAGGGACAGAGGAGTGTTGAAAGAGAATGGGGCTGGGTGCGGTGGCTCATGCCTGTAATCCTAGCACTTTGGGAGGCTGAGGCAGGTGGATCATTTGAGGTCAGGAGTTCGAGGCCAGCCTGGCCAACATAGTGAAACCTTGTCTCCACTAAAAATACAAAAGTTAGCTGGACATTGTGGCTCACGCCTGTAATCCCAGCTACTTGGGGGACTGAGGCACGAGAATCACTTGAACCCTGGAGGCAGAGGTTGTAGTGAGCTGAGATTATGCCACTGCACTCCAGCCTGGACAACAGAGTGATACCCTGTCTCAACAACAACAGCAACAACAACAAAAAAAAAAAAAAAAAGAAAGAAAGAAGATGGGTTTTAGAATGGTGCAAAGGTAGCTGGGCATGGTTTCATGCACCTGTGGTCCCAGCTACTTGGGAGGCTGAGGCAGGAGCCCAGGAGATTAAGGCTGCAGTGAGCTATGGTTGTGGTTGTGAATAGCCACTGCACTCTAGCCTGGCCAACAGAGCAAGACTTTGTCCTAAAAAACAAAAACAACAACAAAAAACCCAAGAAACAAAACAAACAAAGAATAGAAAGGAAGAAAAAAAAAAGAAAGAGAAACAAAGCTATATATAGGCTCAAGGACTAGCCATCCACATGCTGATGTTGAAGGGCCCCACGTGTTCCCATCTGTGACGGGGACTATTGGTTTCCTACCCAAAGCTATTTTCGTCTCCTTTTTACCATATAATAGAGCACAGCTTCAGTAATACTGCCAGGAAGTATAGGGGCAAAGCTTGTAAAACGAAGGTTGATAACTTTGGTCCCAAGTTGGTAACTTATTCTCTCATGGCCTTTCTCTGCTAATAATTTTTAAAATGGCTTTTAAAGAGTTATCTTAGAATCTTTTGTAAACTTCAGTTCACTTTAGACTTTTTCTTTCTCTATAACATTCATGTATGTATTAGTTATAGTTGTCTTGATAACAAGTAGTTCCACTGTCTCAGAGGCTTAGCACATAGAACACTCATGCCATGGTTCAATGTGGGTCTCTGATTGCCAGTCACTTGGGAACTCAGACTTCCAGTCTAGTGATTTCATCATCCTCTAAGGCTTCAAAGTCCCTTTCTGGGCCCTAGGCTCTTGTCATTTGAACTATAGATGAGGCAAGAGGGAGACCGTTGAGGACTACACTAGGTATTATGGGCTAGGTCTGAAAATGTTGCACATCATTTCTGTCCAGATCTCATTGGCTGAAACTCAGTCAGGAAGACACACCTGGCTAAAGGGAGGCTGAGTGAAGTGATCTGATCCGTCAGTCTGCTTGTTATTCTGCACCTGTGCCCCAGTTTTATTCCCATTCTCCTTGGCCCTGCTCTTTGACACAGAAGACTGAGTCTGTGGATGACATTACCCAGAGTCTCCTACCTTCTGGCTTCCAGATAGGTTCAGTGTGAGAGGCACAGTTAAGAGATTGGAGAGCATGAGTTTGGAGTATTTATTGCCTTTCTCCCTTCCTGCATTTGGCTGTGCAGTAGAGTCTGACTCCGTTTGTGATGTTTGACTGTTCACAGCATTTAGGCCTCCATCCACCCTTGCCCTGCCCACCATCATACATCTGGGACTTCATGTAAGGAACTCCCCACCCCAAGCTCCTGACCTCTTGATGTTTGAACCCCACAGCTTCATGACAGCTTGCACCTGCCCTTCCCCAGAAGTGCTCTGTGTGTTAGTAATAGACTTTCTTTCTTACCCTCTTGGTGCATGAAGGAGGGTCATTAGTCTCCATATCTGATCTATTGATTGGGAGGAAGTCTGTACCCTATTGGTGGAATGACCAGAAAACAGGCTGTGTTATCTGAGAGCAGTTGGTAACCTAGAAGTGGTAATGGCTTTCTATTCTCGCTAGTCCCTGGGCACCTCAACTTCCCGGATTGATTTTCTTAATCCTTTCCATGCTTCTATATCTAGTCCTTTCTTTAGAGCCTCTTGAAACATCAGAGTTAGATTCTGTTTCCTGCAGGAAACCTGATGGATATGGGAAGAAGAGGGAAGTGGTCTGGTGAGCATTTAGTCAGTTGCTGCAACATTATGATCAGTGCCAATTTTTAAGTTTAATCCTTGGCTTTCAGCGAATGTGGATATATATGGTCAACATTATTTGTCTTATATAAATGCACTAGCATATATAATACATATACTGATGAAAGTAGATGGACTTTTATGAGGAACTTTAGTAGATGAGGGTCTTTTTCACATTGAAAAATTTTGCTTTCAGGCTTTTTTTGAGATTAAAATGGCATTTGAACATTGGGATGAAGACTACTCATCTGAAACTGGGCTTTGGCTAACTGGGCACAAACATGCTTTATATAAATTTTCACTGTAGGGTCCAAAGTAGTTCTTTTTTTATTTTTTTATTTTTTGGGGACAGGGTCTTACTCTGTGGCCCAGGCTGGAGTGCAGTGTCACAGTCTCGGCTCAGTGCAGCCTCTGCCTCCCAAGTTCAAGCAATTCTTCCACCTCAGCCTCCCGAGTAGCTGGGATTACAGGGCCATGCCACCACACCCAGCTAATTTTTGCATTTTTAGTAGAGACGGGGTTTCACCATGTTGTCCAGGCTGATCTCGAACTCCTGACCTCAGGTGATCCAGCCCCCCCCAAACCCCCTTCAGGCTCCCAAAGTGTGGGATTACAGGCATGAGCCACCACTCTCAGCCGGCCCAAAGTAATTTTCAGTGAAGGGGTACTGCTGTAAAAATGAGTCTGCAAACTAGATGCCCTTCCTCCTCCAATTCATCCTGCTGAGATGCACATAGATGTGTGTGTCTTAGAATCAGCTGATGCTGGGAATAGGTCCCTTGTTATTAAGGAGGAAGATGCCAAGGGAGTCAGGAGGAGAGAGGTGTGTTCCTACAGTGCTGCGTGGAATTCTGCAGATGACCTAGCTGCTCCTGTCTTACTGTCAGTTTCTGCAGTCAAATCAGGCAGTTGTAACTTGCGTTTCTCTACTTTCTTTGATTTCATATCAAGCATCCTGCAAATTGGTGGGCATTTTTCAAATTCCCTTAAAGTTTGTGAACAAGCATCTCCAAGGAGCACTTGCCATCTCTGTGCCTGATTTGTGTATGCTCACTGGCTTGCAGCTTTTCCCAGGTTCTCTGGTGTTAAATTAATAACAAATGATGTAGAGCTGACAGGCAGGTGAAACTGGGGAGAACCATGATATTAAAAAAAAATCTCAGTCTATTATGTAGCACAATGTGCAACACTTCGTCAGATTTTGCCTGCAGGTATCTTAATTTTGCTTAAATATTTTGCTCATATCTTTTTAACCCAGAAGATGGGAACGTAGCCCTTAACATCTCTCAAGCAGACTGTGTAGCATATGTTAGTGTGATACAGAATACCAAACTCTGCCAGCTATTTGGCATTCTTTGAAAAGGCACTAGATAAAATAAAAATAAAGAAGATAAAAATACTTTCATGGTGGAGGAATTGTCTGATTCCCACTCGAAGTTATAAGGCGCATATTTTGGATCAATATAAACATTATTTTCTCACAGACAGAGCTATCCAACTGTGACTGCCTCAAAGTTAGAGTACTCTTTGTCATTGCAAGTATTTAAGAAATTGGAGATCATCTGCCAAGATTCTTTGGAAATGATTCGTTGCAAGTATGCAAAATATTGGAAGAATACTTTGCAGTTTTAAACTACATACATTCAATCTGCTTTACATATTAAATTTCAATGTAATCTTTTAAAAATACTATGGAAAATTAATATACACACAAGTAGGGATAATAACATAATGAACCCTTATTACTGATTACCCAATTTCAGCAATGAGAACATTTATTTTAAAGAACAGTGCCACTGCTAAAAACAAATTTAGAAGCTTCTGGATTGGATGATGCCTGAAGTCCCCCAAATTCTATTTTATGGGCAATATAAGGGTCAGCCAAAAAGTGAACACCACTCAATGTCCATCATCTGATAATGAATAAACATAGTATGTCCATACAAGAGTAGATGTAGCATAATTTTTTTTTTTTTGAGACGGAGTCTCGCTCTGTCACCCAGGCTGGAGTGCAGTGGTGCCATCTCGGCTCACTGCAAGCTCTGCCTCCCGGGTTCATGCCGTTCTCCTGCCTCAGCCTCCTGAGTAGCTGGGACTACAGGCGCCTGCCACCTCGCCCGGCTAATTTTTTGCATTTTTAGTAGAGACGGGTTTTCACCGTATTAGCCAGGATGGTCTCGATCTCCTGAACTCGTGATCCGTCTGCCTTGGCATCCCAAAGTGCTGGGATTACAGGCGTGAGCCACCGCACCCGGCCATTGTCTGCTTCTTATGCTACGAAGTGTAGGTCCGTTTTTTAAAATATCCTCCCCATGCATTCAAATTTGTCTCCCCCAGTTCTGCAGCTATTTTTTTTTTGAAAGGCTCATTACTGAGCAAACATCTCTTTACGACCCACCTCTGTAAATCCCTCAATGAATGACCAACTTTGAAATGACTTCATGAGGTTCTCAGCTAAAGTAAATTATCAGCTGCACTATCTGGGGAGAAGAGACTAAGGGGAAAGGAGTGACTTTATTTTTTAGTAATACATGACTCAAAACGTCGACTATTCGTTATATCACCCCTACCCATGCATGGCTTGCTTCTGGGGTCTCTGAAATAGAATGAATTAATATTTTCATTTAGTTTTATTCTTGAAAGGGTGAGTTTCTCCACACACAGCATGGCTTTGTCTTCTGGAGAGAGGCAATAAATAAACAAACAGTAAATAATTTAAATGATTCCGTAGTGATAAGTGCTGTTGAGAAAATAAAAGAGATTTATATCAGGAGGTGGGTTCAGGAAAGGTCTCTCTAAAAAGGTGGCACTTGAAATGAGGCCTAAATGACATGAAAGAACCTCTGAGAAGGTTTCTGTGGTGCAGCAAGTACAAGATTCTGAAGCACAACAGATTTTGATTGAAAAGGGGTTGAAGAGAACTTGGTGAATAGAGAGGGGGAGAGATAGGGGATGAGGTCAGAGTGATGTGTAAGGACCAGGACATCAGGGGCCATGATGGGGTCTTTGGGTTTTATTTCAAATACTCTGGGGAGCCTTCAGAAGCTTTAAGCAGGGACATGATGTAATTTGCTGTACACTTTCAAAGATCATACTGGTAGTCATGTGAAGAAAGGATGGTGGGGCAGAATGAATGGCTGCAGGGAAATGAATTTGCCAGCCATTCACGGGGTTCAGGTGTGGGATTACGGCAGCCTGGTCTATCACTTAGGATTAGGATTGTGATACTAATGGCGGATTACGTAATAAACTCAACTATATTGGCTTCATCAAAGGGGTTTTTCACACAAGAAGAAGTCTATTGATGGCAGTCCATGGCAGTCCTTGGCTGCTCTTTTGTGCCTTTAGAGCCCAGGCTCTTTCTGTTTTCAGCCTCTGTCATTCCAACATGTTGCTCTTGTTCTCATGGTTGACAGATGGCTGCTGTACCTCCATTGCATGTGCCTTTTTAGGCCAAGAGGGCAAAAGGGAAAAGGCACTTCCCTTTTATCAGGAAAATATTGTACTGGTTATGGTTATCTGCAGAAAACTGAATTTACTCCAGCAATACTACTGCAATCCTACTTGGCCCCTGTGATGTTCAAGGCCAGATGCTAAAGCTTCATCACCGCTGCTCTTGGAAGATCCAGATCAGGCTGAGTTCTCAGCACAGCTAACTCCCCTGTTCTCTTCTTCTTGCCTAGTAATGGAACCCCTGATTGATACATGGACCCATGACTGTCCACAAGAAAGACTACATTTCCCAACTCCCATGCATCTAGGTGAGGCATATGGCTCGGTTCTGGTTAGTGGGATTTAGGCCAAAGTGTCATGTGAATGAGCCCTCCCTTGTCTGACCTTCTTCCTTTTGCTGACTGGAAAGCAGATGTGATGGCTTGAGCTGCAACAGCCATCTTGGACGATGAGGAGGAAGCCATACATGAATGTGGCAGAAAAACAAGAGAAGAAGCTCGGCTCACTCATGACTATAGAGTTGCCAAATCTTGCTTTCTTCAAGAAAAGTGTCTAAATGACTTTCTTCCTAGCCTTCAGTGAGAATCCAAAAACCTCTATTGTTAGGAAAACCCCCAGGAAGGGCAGAAAGCAACTGAAACCTAGCTCCCCTCCTCACCCCTGTCCCTGCTCCCCAAAGACTAAAGGTTGGATGGGCCTGGGTGATATGATGACATATGCCAATCTCGATCACGTGCCAGATGCCTCCATGTCAATCTTCTGGCTTCCCTGGGTCACACTGGAAGAAGGATTGTCCTGGGCCACATATAAAATACATGAACACTAACAATAGCTGATGAGCTAAAAAAAAAAAAAAAGAAATTGCGGCCGGGCGTGGTGGCTCATGCCTGTAATACCAGCACTTTGGGGGGCCGCGGTGGGCGGATCATGACGTCAGGAGATCGAGACCTTCCTGGCTAATACAGTGAAACCCCGTCTCTACTAAAAATACAAAAAGTTAGCCAGGTGTGGTAACGGGCGGGCGCCTGTAGTCCCAGCTACTTGGGAGGCTGAGGCAAGAGAATGGCGTGAACCCGGGAGGTGGAGCTTGCAGTGAGCCGAGATCGCGTCACTGCACTCCAGCCTGGGCGACAGAGCGAGACGCCGTCTAAAAGAAAAAAAAAAAAGAAAAAGAAATTGCAAAAAAACTCATAAGTTTTAAGAAAGTTTACGAATTTGATTTGAGCCACGTGTAATGCTGTCCCAATGCATCCTCGGGGCCGTAGGTCGGGCAAGCTTTTTCTACGTAACCAAGAAATAAAATTTGTTTTGCTTATGCCATTTAGTTTTGTGTGTGTGCGTGTGTGTGTTTTTTCTGCCACATATATAGCTAAATCTAGTCCTGATTATGTCAAAGGTTTTATTTGAATGTTTTTGTCCACCTGGCAAAATCTTATTTATTCTTCAACACTCATCTCAGTATAAACTCTGTAACTACTTTTTTGTCTTCTCCATGATAGAACTATTCACTCTCCTATTTCTTGTTTAAAGCGTTGTTTGCAGCCATCTTTTCCAGCACATTTTTTTTTTTTCAGACGGAGTCTTATTCTGTTGTCCAGGCTGGAGTGCAATGGCACGATCTTGGCTCACTGCAACCTCTGCCTCCTGGGTTCAAGTGATTCTCTTGCCTCAGCCCCCTGAGGAGCTGGGATTACAGGCATGCACTACCATGTCCAGTTATTTTTTGTGTGTTTTAAGTAGAGACGGGGTTTCATCATGTTGGCCAGGCTGGTCTTGGACTCCTGAACTCAGGTGGTCCACCCGCCTCGGCCTCCCAAAGTGCTGGGATTACAGGTGTGAGCCACCATGCCCAGCCTCCAGCACATCTTATATTATGTTATATTAATGGCTTATATCATGTCATCTTTGCCTGTCAGTGAACTACATGAGGATAGAGATTGTTATTTACCTGTGTATATCTGGTCTTATAACAGTGCCAGATAAATGGTAGATATCCAAAGTTAACCTGAACTTTTAATTTTTTCTTTTTTGAGACAGGGTCTTGCTCTGTCCCTCAGGCTAGAGTGCAGTGGTGCCATCACGGCTCACTGCAGCCTCGACCTTCTGGCCTCAAGTAATCCTCCCACCTGGCCTCTCAGGTAGCTGGGACTACAGGTGCATGCCACTGTGTCTGGCTAATTTTTAATTTTTTTTTGTAGATATGAACTCTCACTATGTTGCCCAGGCTGGTCTTGAACCCCTGGGCTCAAGTGATCCTCCTGCCTTGGCCTCCCAAAGTGCTGGGGTTATAGGTGTGAGCCACCATGCTAGGCCTGAACTTTTAATTTTTGATTTTTGTCTTTTTCACATTTCAATCATGGTTGTATGGTTTTGATTTTTTCTTTCTTCTGGTGCGGATTACTGGGGGAATCTGTAAGCTTTATGCAAGAGAAAAAAGTTGCCGTTTTCATACAGATCAATGACATTTTGCAAAATTTATTTGTAAAATTACCCAGAAGTGGAAGTCTTACAGTGTCATTTCTATCACATGCTGTTCACCGAGGCTGCCCGAATTTAAAAAGAAAGGGAATAGATTCTACCTCTTGAAAGAGTGGTGGCGGCCAGGCGCAGTGGCTCACGCCTGTAATCCCAGCACTTTGGGAGGCCGAGGTGGGTGAATCACTTGAGGTCAGGAGTTCCAGACCAGCCTGACCAACATGGTGAAACCCCATCTCTATTAAAAATACAAAATTAGCCGGGCGTGGTGACAGGTGCCTGTAATCCCAGATACTCTCAAGCAGGAGACTTGCTTGAACCCAGGAGGCAGAGGTTGCAGCGAGCCGAGATCGTGCCATTGCACTCCAGCCTGGGCGACGAGAGTGAAACTCCATCTCAAAAAAAAAAAAAGAAAATGAAAATGAAAAAGAAAGAGTGGTGGCAAGATTCTGGAAGGGCACACGGGACTACAATTATTGTTGCAGCCATTTTTGAAAAATGCAATCTGCTACCATCTACCTTCTGGCCACAACAATGCATATCCCTCACACATTCAAAATACATTTGCCCTAAAGCTTCATCCCATTTGGACTTCTGGCTGTGACTCAAGGTCTAGAATCCCAGCACCTAAATCAGGTCCAAGTGAGGATGAGGTTCTTCAAATATTGTTCCTCTCAAACAACTCCTTGAGAACTGTTCCTTTTGATTGGAAGACCAGTAACTAGAGTGACGCATTATCTGGGTCTCACTTTCTCAACATGCAATGGTGGGATAGGCATAGAATGGCCACTATAGATACTCCTGTTCAAAAAGAGTGAAGGGACCCCCTTAAAAGAAGTATCTAAGTTTAGAGGGTTTACATGTAATCCAACCTTAGCCATCTTACTTTTTTTCCTTCAGGAAACGTTTCTAACTTGGTTTTTTATCTAGCCCTCAGTTGAAATCCTAAGATCTCCATTTTCAGGGAAACTCCTGTCTAGAGCAACAGCAGAAAGTAACTGAAATCTGCCTCCTCCCCTCGCCCCATCTCACCTCCCCAAAGACTAAAGGCTGGGTCAGGTTGGGTGAAAACCAAGGAAGTGGAGGATAGATAATTTTTGAATTAAGACTTCTTTGAGGGAAGGAAATGTCCTTGTAATGCGCTGGTGAAAGAGAGAACTGGCTGGATGTGGTGGCTCACGGCTGTAATCCCAGCACTTTGGGAGGTTGAGGCGGGTGGATCACCTGAGGTCAGGAGTTCAAGACCAGCCTAGCCAACATAGCCAACATGGTCTCTACCAAAAATACAAAAATTAGTCGGGTGTGGTGGCACACGCCTGTGGTCCCAGCTACTCGGGAGGCTGAGGTAGAAGAATCGCTAGAACCTGGGAGGTGGCAGTTGCAGTGAGCCAAGATCACACCACTGCACGCCAGCCTGGGCAACAGAGTGAGACTCCGTCTCAAGAAAAAAAAAAAGAGAGAGAGAGAGAACTAAAGTGAACTTTAGTCATTATGGGGCTTTAAGCTTCCTCACCACGGAGGTAAGGTCTTAACGACATTCTTTCCAAAGTAGCTGTCTGATTTGAAGGCACTGTAAAATCTATGGGCTGAAACTCACCTTTCACCTGGATGCAGAGATGTGAGGGAGGTGTTACCTTATCTCAGTGTTAGACTCACAGGAAAGTACTTCTCTGGCAGGGGAGTGGGCAGGTGTGGGGTTCTGCAGTTGCAGGTTTTGGGGTATGGTGAGGAGACTTCATCCAGTTGGACAGATAGTGGATCTGGATCACTTGGAAAGGATGGTGAGGCTTCCTTCGGCTTACTAGCAAGACAAAAATGATGGCTGCCGTGTGAAAGGATGTCTTTGTGACTAAGACGTGTTGACAGCACACTATGAGGGAGACATGTACATTATCTTGATTGCGATGACGATTTCACAGTTGCCCCATATCCAATTGTCCAATTTAAGTACTGTATTTTTGTATGTCAATTATGTCAATAGAACTGTTTTCTAAAATGTGAAAAGAAGAAAAGGGTAAGGGCACACAGCAGTTATAGGCACACAACTCTGAAATTCAGCATGTGTTGCCAGTTCCGTGATTAGGGCTCAAGCCTAATGTCTAGGTTGGACACTAGGCCTTAGGATTCACTGTGGCTCTTGGCTCCATCCTCTGAAATCCTTTTTTTTTTTTTTTTTTTCATAAAATGTGGCCCCTGCATGCACTTGAGCAATTTTCTCACTCTGTTTCCTACTCACAGAAATTTGAGGTTTTAAAAGCTTCATTTTATTTTTTTTAACTATCTATCCCTTTTATTTCAAGTAATGGAATTCCTTTGAAAGTGTTGTATTTTATTGTGTGAATCAATTTGTAATTCATTCCATTAGAAAAGCCAGAAATCTCTTCCCAAATATCTCTAGCTTAGACTCCCTGTAAGGCAGCTGAGGGACAATGACGTGAAGACTCATTTACGGGGACTTTTTTTCTGTTTGGAAGGGGCAATGCCTTCTGAGACCATAACACATGGTTTGACAGTCACATCCTTGGCTTCATCTTTAGTTCATGCTTTCCTGATAGTGCTCTGGAATTTATTTTATTTATTTTTTATTTTTATTTTTTTTTGTGTGTGTGTAGGGGAGGGTAAGTCTGGAAGGCGTTTCTTACTTTTTGTATTTTTTGTATTGTTTGCTATCTGGAAAGCCAGGGAAGGAAAACAGTTTTATTTTTAAACCTAGCAAGACCTAGTTCCTTTATATTAACAATTCTTTCTTTACTTTATTTAGTTTAGTTTGTTTCTCTACTTACATTTTACTGTAGTGGCAAACAGAGCCAGGCAGCACCTTCACCACTTTGCTTGGAAATCTCCTTAGCTGATGTATTAGTTCATTCTTATGTTGCTATAAAGAACTACCTGAGACTGGATAATTTATGAAGAAAAAGAGGTTTAATTGGCTCATGGTTCTGCAGGCTGTGTAGGAAGCATGGCTGAGGAGGCCTCAGGAAACTTACAATCATGGTAGAAGGGGAAGGGGAAGCAGGCACGTCCTACCTGGCTGGACCAGGAGGAAGAGAGAGAGAAGGGGGAAGAGCTACACACTTTTAAACAACTAGATCTTGTGAGAATTTATTCACTATCATCAGAACAGCAAGGGGGAAGTCCGCCCTCATAATCTAATTACCTCCCACCAGGCCCCACCTCCAGCACTGGGGATAACAATTTGACATGAGATTTGGGTGGAGACACAAGTCCAAACCATATCAGTTAGATTATCCCTTTCAGAATAACGTTTTCTTTTCTTTTCTTTATATTTTTGAGACAGAGTCTTTCTCTGTTGCCCAGGCTGGAGTGCAGTGGCATGATCTCAGCTCACTGCAACCTCCACTTCCCAGGCTCAAGCGATTCTCTCACCTCAGCCTCCTGAGTAGCCAGGACTACTGGGGTGTGCAACCACAGCTGGCGAATTTTTCTATTTTTTATAGAGATTAGGTCTCTCACCATATTGTCCAAGCTGATTTTGAACTCCTGGGCTCAAGTGAGCCTCTCACTTCAGCCTCCCAAAGTGCTAGGATTACAAGCATGAGTCACAGGGCTTGTCACCCAATGACATTTTCTATTTCCATGTTCTCATAGTGCTGTAGTTTAGATATTTCTCTCCTCTGAATCTCACGTTGAAATTCGACCCCCAGGGTTGAAGGTGGGGCCTCAACAGCGGTGACTGGGTCATGGGGCAGATCCCTCATGAATAGATGAATGCCCTTCCTTGGAGGTGAGTGAGTTCTCACTCTGTCAGGTACTGAGAGAGCTGGTTGTTAAAAAAAGGCTGGCACCTCCCTCTTTCTCTCTCGCTCATTCTCTCGCCATGTGCCTGCTGCCCACACTGGCTTTCCTTCACCTTCTGCCACCAGTGGAACAGCTTGAGCCCCTCACCAGAGGCAAATGCTGGCATCATGCTTCTTGTATCCCTTGCAGAATCGTGAGCCAAATAAAACATTTTTTTTTGAGAGTATCTGTCGCCCAGGCTGGAGTGCAGTGGTGCAGTCTCAACACACTGCAGCCTCCGCCTCCCGGGTTCAAGCGATTCTCCTGCCTCAGCCTCACAAGTAGCTGGGATTGCAGGCGTACGCTACCATGCCCAGCTAATTTTGTGTGTGTGTGTGTATTTTTAGTAGAGACGGGGTTTCACCATGTTGGCCAGGCTGGTCTCAAATTCCTGGCCTCAAGTGATCCACCCACCTTGGCCTCCCAAAGTGCTGGGATTACAGGCGTGAGCCAATGTGCCTGGCCGAAACATTTTTCTTTATAAATGACCTACTCTCAGGTATTCCTTTACAGCAGCACAAAATGGACTAAGACACACAGGCAACAGTGTTATTATATTTTTTGCTACTAAATAACAAGGATCCCCTTTCCTTCCTCTAGCTTCTGGTAACATTTTCTTAACTTTTTTATGAGCCCTCTATTACAACCTTTTAGAGGCCATATTCAATTCTACTAATGGTCTCTTCATGGTCCTTAGGACTTCTACCGACCACTGGAACATTAAGCCACTAGTATATATTCTAGGATCTTACTAGAACAGCAGCCCACTTCCAGGTAACAAAATCTGTTGATTTTTCTTTTGAGACGGAGTTTTGCTCTTGTCCAGGCTGGAGTGCTGTGGTGCAATCTCAGCTCGCTGCAACCTGCACCTCTGGGTTCAAGCGTTTCTCCTGCCTCAGCCTCCCAAGTAGCTGGGATTACAGGCACCTGCAACCAAGCCCCGCTAATTTTTGTATTTTTGGTAGAGACAGAGTTTCACCATGTTGGCCAGGCTGGTCTGGAACTCCTGACCTTAGGTGATCCACCTGCCTCAGCCTCCCAAAGTGCTGGGATTACAAGTGTTAGTCAGTGTGCCCGGCCCAAAATCTGTTTTTCACTTATCTATGTAGTCCGTAGCACAGCACCTGGTAGACAGTGGATTGTTGATGTGGAATTATATTTTTCAGTTCTTTATTTTTGTCTTTTTTCACGTTTTAAATGATGGGCCTAGGTAGTTATGGTTATTTTCATTTTTTTCTTATTAGATGGGGTCCAGTGGGGAATCTTAAAGCTTTCTGCATGAAAACAGAGTAGTAGTTTCTACAACAGATCAATGACATTTTGAAAAATTTTTCTTTTAAAATTACTTGAGCACACAATTTGAGACACTGTAATTTGTTTTTACTCCACAGGGACATTGACAGGGGCCAGGTAATAGTTTATAAAACAAACACAAAGACCAAAGTCATTTGAAATTCAGACTGATTTTCTATCTTTTTTTGGGGGAGATAAGGGGAGGTTGTTGAAAAAGATAAACCTTTCATTCATTTTTATTTAGGGCCATTCTTGCCAGCAAGGGAAATTTAATCCATTCCAACCACCAAATCATTGACCGTACATTTATTCATTAAAGTAATCAATCAGTAGGAACAGGGTTTTCTTTCTTTTAATATATTAAATGGTAAAAATGATGGGCTCATAAAAGTGTCTAGGAATTTTCATTTCTTATCTTAGGTCAGCTGTCTGCAACAGTGTAATCCCAACTGTGGGACTTTGACATAGCTTGCCTGCTTTTTCAGTTGTTTTATGAGCACACGTGCCATTTGTCCATATATGTAGCTTCCCATATGCCGCCGTGCAAGAAGAGAGTGCTGGCAGCAGTAATTCCGACTAAGGGCACAAGAGAGAACAGAAGCATCAGAATTGGCACATATCTGGAGACAAACACTGGCACCCTGGTCAGTAGTTGATGCATTCCTCCACCTGTCCCTGCAACTGCTCAGTCCTGGTGTCTATGACTGACAAGCCCTGTGGTCTGTCCTCTGTCATGGACACTGGCAGGAACACATCCACTCATAGCCTTTGAATTCAAAAGCAGATACTAAATGAATGTGATCACACAACTATTAGTTTTCTGTCATCATAAATAATTTATGAGGAAGGTCTTTGTTATTTTTTAAGATGGTTGATATTTTAAAGAAAATAGCACATTTGGCCAGGCGCGGTGGCTGATGCCTGTAATCCCAGCACTTTGGGAGGCTGAGGCAGGTGGATTGCCTGAGATCGGGAGTTCAAGACCAGCCTGACCAACTTGCAGAAACCCTGTCTCTCCTGAAAATACAAAATTAGCCGGGCATGGTGGTGGGTACCTGTAATCCCAGCTACTAAGGAGGCTGAGGCAGGAGAATCACTTGAACCCAGGAGCTCACTTGCGGTGAGCTGAGATTGCGCCACTGCACTCCAGCCTGGGCAACAAGAGTGAAATTCCATCTTTTAAAAAAATGGCACATTTAAACAGTTTTTTTTTGCTGCGCAACTTGCACACAGAAAAGTGTGTCAATTGTAAACATACAGATCAACATTTCACAAATAGAACACACCTGCGTAACCAGCACCCAGATCAAAAAGCGCCCTCTCATGCACCCCTTTCTAATCCTTCCAGTTACTGATCTGAAAAGTAACCACCACCTTGACTTCAAATACCATAGATTGGTTTTACCTGTTGCTAAAACTTTATATAAACAAAGTCATATGGTAAGTAGCCTTTTTAAAGCATTTATTTTTGAAGCTTTGTTCAGGCATGATGTTGTACAATACATTCCATATATTTAGAGGATACAATTTGATGAGTTTTGACATATGAATACACCCATGAAACCATCACCACAATCAAGATAATGAACATATCCATCACTCCCAAAGTTTCCTTATCTACCCTCTCCCTGCCCCTCCTCTACTCTCCCCAGGCCACCACTGATCTGCTTCTGTCACCATAAATCAGTTTGCATTTTCTAGAATTTGATGGAAGTGGAATCATAAGGAATGTACTCTTTTTTTGGTCTTTCACTCCCTATAATTATTTTGAGATGTACCCATGCTATTTTGTGTATCAGTAGTTTTTTTTTTTTTTTATCGCTCTTTAGCATTCTGTTGTTTGGACACATCACAATTTCTTTATCCACTCCTCTGTTAGTAAGTACTTTTTTGCATGTGGCTTCCTTTGCTTAACATTATGCTTGTGAGATTCGTTCTTAGTAGGACATTTATGGAAGAAAAGGGAAAGTTACTGAGTAACATACCAAGGGATAAAACTCTGCACCAGAGAAGATGAATCAATCTACATTTGTGAGGTCATGGTCAACCTTAAGTCATTCACATATTAGTTCAAATCATTTATTGAGCATCTACTTTGTACAAGATATGTGAGAGAGTGAGCATATAGTGAAAGGGTAGATTGTATTACTGTTCCTACTTGTTTTCTGCCTTCCCTTGTAAGAAGATGATATATCCCTGTCTCCAGCCATGTGGCTTGCAGTGCATCCCTAACTGAGGGTTATACTTTTCTGCCCTACTTATGTCAGGGGTGGGTATTTGACTTACTGTGGCTGAGGAAATGTGAGAAGAAGCTTGAAGAGCTGTTGGGTGGTTTGGCCTTAACCCTTTTTTCTCTGCCACAAGATCATTATGCCCCCACATGGGGGTTGAGGTGGGGGTTCTTCAACCTGTATTTGAAAGAAGGCACACAGATCAGAACCACTGCTGACCTGTGGCTGATACAGATAGTGAGCAGGAAATCTTTGTTGTAGGCAGTAGTTACAAAGAAGAGCTTGGTCACTCCACACATGAGAAAATAAATTCTTAAATTATTCAATAATTAGTTGTGTTTTGATGGTAATACAACATGCCAATGCGCTTAAATTTTTTATTTTATTTTATTTATTTATATTTTTTGAGACAGAGTCTTGCTTTGATGGCCAGGCTGGAGTGCGGTGGTGCAATCTTGGCTCACTGCAACCTCTACCTCCTGGGCTCAAGCCATCCTCACACTTCACCCCCTTCCTGAGTAGCTGGGATCATAAGCACATGCCACCATGGCTGGATAATTTTTGTATCTTTTTCCAGAGACAGTGTCTCGCTATGTTGCCCAAGCTGGTCTCAAACTCCTGGCTTAAGCGATCTCCCACCTAAGCCTCCCAAAGTGCTGGGAGTACAGGTGTGAGCCACTGCACCTGACAGCCCTTTAAATTTTTAAGACTTTTTCAGTTTTAATCATCCCCTCCATTCTTCCTTTACCAATATATTTTCTTTACCTTTAAAAGCAAGTTTACCTTTAATTAAGAAATAAATAATTTCCTGCATGCCTCATTTATCTCATTTAATACTTGATTGCCTACAAGTGACCAAAAACATATGAAAAATGTTTAACACCAGTAATCATCAGAGAGATTCAAATCAAGACTACCAGGAGATACTATCTCACACCAGTCAGAATGGCTATTATTAAAAAGTCAGAAAATACCAGATGCTGGTGAGGTTACAGAGAAAAGGGAATGCTTATACACTCCTTGTGGGAATATAAATTAGTTCAGCCTTTGTGGGAAGCAGTATGGAGAATTCTTTCTAAAGCTAGAATTACCATTCAACCCAGCAATCCCATTACTGGGTATATACCCAAAGGTAAATATATGTACCCCAAAAGAGACCTGCACGTGTGTGTTTATCATAGTGCTATTCACAATAGCAAAGACATAGAATCAATCCAGGTGTCCATCAATGGTGGACTGGAGAAAGGAAATGTGGTACATAGACAGTATGGAATACTACATAGCCATAAACAAGAATGAAATCATGTCCTTTGCGGCAACATGGATGTAGCTGGAGGCCATTATCCTAGGTGAACCAATGCAGAAACAGAAAACCATATACCACATGTTCTTACTTATAAGTAGGAGCTAAACATTTGGTATACACAAACACATAGATGAGAACAATAAACACTGGAGATTCCAAAAAGGGGAAGGGGGAGGGCAAGGATTGAAAAACTACCTATAGGGAACTATGCTCACTACCTGGATGATGAGATCAGTCATACCCCAAACCTCAGCATCCCGAAATATACTCGTGTTACGAACATGCACATGTCCCCCCGGATCTAAAAAACCAAGAACTTAGTCATCTGGTTTCTTCCTCAGGATACTAGGAGGTTTTAGGGCATGCATGGTGGTGTATGCCTGTAATTCCAGCTACTTGGGAGGCAGAGGCGAGAGGATCACTAGAGCCCAGGAGTTCAAGGCCAGCCTGGGCAACAGAGGGAGATCCCATCTTTTAAAAAATATACTAGGAGGTTTTAGACTGTTTCTTGGGATCTAATGAATCCAATGATCCCAACAATTTTCCCCAATCCCCTCTCTACCCTTCTCAGGGTATGAGCATGATACTCTCCATTTTTCTTTCCCCTACCTGTCAACCTCCTGTTCCTGCATTCATCTACTTGAATCACAGACTCTCCCATAATGTTAGGACAGTGGGCCTGGTGCAGTAGCTCACACCTGTAATCCCAGCACTTTGGGAGGCTGATGTGGAAGGATCCCTTGAGACCGGGAGTTCAAGATCAGCTTGGGCAACATAGAAAACCCCGTCTCTACAAAAAATACAAAAATTAGCTGGGTGTGGTGATGCACACCTATAGTCCCAGCTGCTTGAAAGGCTGAGGTGGGAGGATCACCTGAGCCTGGGTTGTCAAGGCTGCAGTGAACTAAGATCACGCCACTGCACTACAGCTTGGGTGACAAAATGAGACTCTGTCTCCAAAAAAAAAAAAAAAAAGCAAAACACAGGGTTAAGATACTATCAGCACCTTGTCAAAATTCCTACCAAAAGGCCTTCCTCTGTTAAGCCAGTGAAGGAGGAGGTCTGGACTAAGATCAACTCAACTATATTTTCTTATGACCACACTACTGAATGGTTAATTTTCTTGTATTATTAGTTTACACAGGGCCTAGGCTAACTGGCATAGCTGTGCACCTCTCTAAAAGGAGTCTTTTATGTCTTAACATTGTCTGAGAATCCACCTCATCTACACTGTGCTGCAGTCTCTATCTTATATTGTACAATTAAAATTTACTCATGAACTATGGAAGTCATGCTCTTTATTTGGGCTCATGATCATACTTGTTGTCTCTGGAAGGTTTAAAAATTCCCATTTCTGAAAGCTTAGTTCCAAACTTGCACTGACTACCAACTACTAATATTACCTGTTTGAAGGAATCATTATAAAATACTCTTTGAGAATGTAGCTTATGTGTAGGTGTTGGAAAAATACATTTACCTGGTGATTCTTGGCTATAGTTGGCTTCAGGTGTGGTTGGATGTGCAGTGATTTTGTGTACTTGAGGCCCTCTATCTTTTTTTTTTTTCTTTTTTTTGAGATGGAATCTCACTCTGTCACCCAGGCTGGAGTCAGTGGCACGATCTCGGCCCACTGCAACCTCCGCCTCTAGGGTTCAAGCGATTCTCCTGCCTCAGCCTCCTGAGTAACTGGGACTACAGGTGCCCGCCACCATGCCTGGCTAATTTTTTTGTATTTTTAGTAGAGACGGGGTTTCACTATATTGGCCAGGCTGGTCTGGAACTCCTGACCTCGTGGTCTGCCCACCTCAGCCTCCCAAAGTGCTGGGATTATAGGCATGAGCCACTGCGCCTGGCCCGAGGCCCTCTATCTTTGTTCTACCCTTAGCTGGGACCCAAGAGCAGCATGGCAGATGGGGAAAAGCCTGGTATCAAAGCCCAGGCTCCCTGTGGCATTCCCTTCCCTACCACATACTAGGAGTGTAGCCTGGATGAAGCTACTTCACATCTCTGTGTTCCAGCGTTTCAACTGTAAAATGGACTATTTCTAAAATAGTACTACACACCTGTAAAGTTAGTCATGAGGGCTAAAGGAGTTAATGTAAGTAGAGCACTTAGAACAGAGCCTGGCACCTAAGAAAGCGCTGTAGAAATGTTAGCATTATTAGTGGGCTGGATCAACCCACTCTGTCCCTCCATGGGGTGAGCATCCTGTTGGGATCTGCTGGGGCATTCCTGTCTGCAAATGGAATTGTGAGGTGGTTCAGTGAAGCTGCAGTTTCATTTAATTCCTGAAAAGGACTGGCACCAGGCCACTTTGAGCAGTGAAGTTGGTCTTCAGTAGTATTTGGTTCTTCCCATCAGTTTTTGAGTCTTATTCTTCTCTTTGTCCCAGTTGGCCAATGTCTTGCTGATCCAGATCCTGACAACAATGACAATGGGATGGGTCCACGCCTATCAGAACCAACACATACATAGTTCCAGTTTCTCATTATACTTTTTTTTTTTTTTTTTTTGAGGCAGAGTCTTCCTGTGTCGCCCAGGCTGGAGTGCAATGGTGCAATCTTGGCTCACTGCAACCTCTGCCTCCCAGGTTCAAGCAATTCTCTTGCCTCAGCCTCCCGAGTAGCTTGGACTACAGGCGCGTGCCACCACACCCGGCTAATTTTTTGTATTTTTAGTAGAGATGGGGTTTCACCGTGTTAGCCAGGATGTTTCATTTTACTTTAAATGTATCCAACCAAAGATCCATCCATCCACCCACCCACCCACTCACCCATCCATCCATCTATCGGTCCATCCGACAAACATTTATGGAGCAACTCCTACCTGCTAGGCAAATTCGAGGCATTGGGAAATGCTAGGAAATGGCATCATTTCTGTCTTCAAGAAGCTTGACATTGATATTGGGTTAATCCACAGGAAATGACACGAAATGCCGAGAAGTCTGGCATTTTGATAGGCTGCTAAGAGAGATATTTATGTCTTTTTCAGGGGCTATTTCAAAACCTTTACATGGTAACACGAAAAGCACCCTCTACTTATTTAAAGACATGATTTCTTATACAGGTATTTAAAAAGAGCATGAAGCTGGGACATTCTAAGAGCCAAGAAGTTAGGAAGGCAGTGAAAGGGGAGTAGGTATCGTGGATAAAAGTTAGAAGTTTAGGTAAAAATTGTGTGTCATAAGCTCTGCAGCTGGGACTTACCTGTCCTGCCCAAAACGAGCCAATAGTTGTGCACCAAGGCTCCTCAGCACAGCATGAGGACGAGGTGATGATCAGATCCTTCTTTCTGGCTGCAGGACCCAGGGTGCTATTGCTGCAGCTGGCGAGGATGATCACAGCACTGTCCAGACATCTCCAATGAGTAAGGCACCTGTCCGATGGTGCTGCAATGCTCATTCTATTTCCAGCAAGTTATTAGAAAAATGTGCGTAATCATTGTGTAAAATGCCAGCAGAGTTACCTTTGTGTGGTTTTTCTCACTTGAGATCTCAAAGTCAAGTCAAAATTCTTGAGGGGCTGTCCTTGTCCTTGGTAGCTGGATTCCCATCTCATTCAGTCCAATGTCTCCCACTACTTTCCAATGTGCAGCTTGGTTCTGTCAAGCTGCTCTCATTCTTCCTCACTAAAAATGACCGAATTCCCTTGGCCAGGTGTGGTAGCTCACACCTGTAATCCCAGCACTTTGGGAGGCCGAGGCGGGTGGATCATGAGATCATGAGATCAGGAGTTGGCGACCAGCCTGACCAACATGATGAAACCCTGCCTCTACTAAAAATACAAAAATTAGCCTGCAATCCCAGCTACTCAGGAGGCTGAGGCAGGAGAATTGCTTGAACCCAGGAGGTGGAGGTGAGCCAAGATCATGCCACTGCACTCCAGTTTGGGCAACAGAGTGAGACTCTGTCTCAAAAAAACAAAACAAAACAAAACAAAACAACCTCATTTCCACCTCGAGGCTTTCACTCCCCCTTCTCCCCCTTGATTAGTTACTTCTTTTTCCTTTCTCCCATACTTTTCTGGCTCCACTTAAAACTTCTTCAGTGAAGCATTCCAGAATTGCTTCACATCCTTTAATAACCTCTATTTCCCCCTGTGAATTTCCAGGCTACTGTGCACATAATTTGGATTACACAATTTAGTCTTTGATTACATATTGCATTGCAACGCTGGCTAGTTATTTTATGTGCTGGTGTGGTTAACTGATCGAGTAGGAAGCTTCCTGCTCCTTTCCTGCACATGTCCCGGCACCCAGCACAGTGCTGAGGATATAGTAGGTATCCAACGTTTGTACCAGTACATCTAGTATATACATTATTGCAGGTATGGATCCCAGCTTTTCAAAGTCTGAAGCTTATACAATTTGAAGAAGCCTTTTCCTGAAAGGAAAAGAAAAAGACTACAAGATGACGAATAAAAAATCAGGAGCCAAAATGAATATTTCGTGAATACATCGCCAAGGCCGCATTTTGGGGAAGAAGTCTTCACAGGAGAGAGACTCTGGAGCTCCAGCAGCTCTGAAATGGACAAATCTAGAGGTGTTTTTGGTCTTCACAATCCGTCTTCTCCATCTGTCACATACAAACTGAACATCAGGCCTCATTCTCTCTCCCAATGGCGAACCTTCCCTACCTTGGTAAACTGGCAAGGACCTCCCCTGATTTAGTCTGCGCCAGCTCATAGGACTGGGTGTGTAATTGCTAGGGAGGAAAATGGTGGTTGACAATTAAGCATCAACAGTGTCATTGATCTTTTGGGGAAGAGAAGAGGAGCTTGTAACAGCCAAAGTATCTACACATTTTTGTATTGTGTATTTATTCTATAAATGTATTTATGCCTTATATGGCATATGTCATTTAAACTGGAACAGGCAGAGTGTCAAGAGGCCAGGGCTGTATATTTATCATCTGAGCACGGTGCAGGGGGCTGAGCCATTTCCTCTCCATCTAAGCTGTTTTTTGGAATCTGACCAGCTGGTGTCACTATGGGACCGTGAATACAGGCATCTTCAGAGCTCTAGGAGTAGAAGAATTTTGGATTGGCGTTGTGGCCCTGGGAAAGGTAACCTTCCTCCCACCCAGCACGAGCCTCCGCCCGACCTCCTCTCTCCCTGTGCCTGCATAGTTTATAAAATTGAGAACTAGCGGACGGATTTAATTTTGATGGAGAATTACCTGTAGGCAAGAGGGCAATCAAACCCATACTGTTAAGGGGCGGGGGGACAAAGGTAATGAATCTGTTCTGTACGTTTAGCAAATGGAGAGTGTCAGGCTAATAATCCGTCAGCTCCTTTTTCCTATGCAATAAGCTTCCGTTACATCTTGTTAGGTACTACGAACTCAGCACTATCTATAAGGGGCTGATTAACCAAGCAGTGCCTTTTCCAAGCTTCTCATTTCCTGTGTCCTTTCTGCCACCTGCCCTTCATCTATTTGGACCATCAAGGAGTCCCAGGTGAAAAGGGGATTTCAAATCAGTCTCTCAGTCACCAAGTTTTAGCAAATTATGGAGGTTTGGTATGGGAGAAGCTCGAGAATAAAAGCTGAGAAGTGCTTTGGAATTCACTGCAGGTAGAAGGCATCTCTGCCTGCGTTTCCTGTCACTACTGCGAATCATGTACAGTCTTTCATGGACCACGGGGGATCAGATAAAGCTCTCCGAGTTTAAATTTCGTTAAAAGAAGAGTCCTGCTGACCCAGGGTCGTTAACTGGCTATCCCCAGTTTGCCAAGGCTGCCATAATGAAGTACCACAGACCGAGCGGTGTCAACAGCAGACATTTATTTCCTGACAGTTCTGGAGGCTGGAAGTCCAAGAGGAAGGTGCAGGCAGGGCTGGGTTCTGGTGAGGCCTCTGTCCTTGTCTTGTAGATGGCACCTTCTCACTCTGTCCTCATGTGGTCTTACCTTTGTGTGCTCCCATCCCTGCTACCCCTTCCATGTCCACATTTCCTCTTCTTACAAAGACACAAGTTAGCTTCGATTAGGGCTCACCCCACTGGCCTCATTTAACCTAATCACCTCTTTAAAGGCTCTGTCTTCAAATACATCTCATTCTGAGGTACTAGGGGTTAGGGCTTCAACATAAGAATTTGGGGGAAACATAATTTAACCTCTACCCCTGTCCCCATCCCTTCACTGGTCTGGATTGAAGTTGACCAGCTTGAGATGCTGATTATCTGACTGAAATGTGTCTCCTTGGCTTTTATTTTATTTTATTATTATTTTTTGAGACAGGGTCTGGCTCTGTCACCCAGGCTGGAGTGCAGTGATGCGATCTCGGCTCACTGCAGCCTCTACCTCCTGGATTCAAGTGATTCTCGTGCCTCAGCCTCCTGAGTAGCTGGGACCACAAGTGTGCACCACCACGCCTGGCTAACTTTTTGTAATTTTTGTAGAGATGAGGTTTTGCCATGTTGCCCAGGCTGGTTTCAAACTCCTAGGCTCAACCAATTCACCTGCCTCAGCCTCCCAAAATGCTGGCATTCCCTTCAGCTTTTACGTGCCATTCTGAGTAGCATGGTTCATACTTGCCAACAGCCCATGATCCTCCTCTTCAGAACCATGAGAACATAAAGAATTTCTTCTTGATGCCCAGAGACCCTTCCTGAAGACCACAGAACCTGGGAGGACAGAGGGACCTGTTCAGGTGACAGGACCTAGGGCCTTGCCCAGGGTTCCTAAAGAGTTTTTGATTGATCCCAGGGTTCCCTAGCTTGGTCTTCTTTCTTTTGTCTTCAGGCTTTTGCTGGAGTGCACTGGTGCGATCTCAGCTCCCGCAACCTCTGCCTCCTGGGTTCAAGCAATTCTCATGCCTCAGCCTCCCGAGTAGCTGAGATTACAAATATGTGCCACCACACCCGACTAATTTTTGTATTTTTAGTAGACATGGAGTTTCATCATGTTAGCCAGGCTGGTCTTGACCTCCTGGCCTCAAAAGATCTGCCCACCTCAGCCTCCCAATGTGCTGGGATTACAGGTGCGAGCCACCGCGACCAGTCTTCAGGCTTTAGATATGCATTTTAAAGAAATTTTTCTGCCAAGATGTTGTAAAGTTAACGTATTGAAAATAAAGTTGATGCAAAAATAATTGAATTCACAATGTATTTTTGCTATGCAGTACAGAAAGCTTTCACCTTTTACCACATAAAAATAAAGCAATACAAATTAAAATAATGTGCAGATATATGCTCTTATCAAATTAGCAAGTAATAATGTTCATGCTAGAAAATTTAGAAAGTATAAATAAACAAAAGGAAGAAAAATCAATTATATATAGCTCTTAATATAGGGTTATTTATCTCTACTTCTTTTTAGGTATAAACATATTTTACAAAAAAAAAGAGAGAAAGATTATACTATATACTGCTTTTTTTTTTTTTTTTTTTTTTTGCTGGATGGAGTCTTGCTTTGTCGCCCAAGCTGGAGAGCAGTAGTGCCAACCTCCGCCTCCCATGTTCAAGTGATTCTCTCACCTCAGCTGCCCGAGTAGCTGGGATTACAAGCATGCACCACCACATCCAGCTAATTTTTGTATTTTTAGTGGAGATGGGGTTTCGCCATGTTGGCCAGGTTGGTCTTGAACTCCTGACCTCAGGTGATCCACCCGCCTTGGCCTCTCAAAGTGCTGGGATTATAGGTGTGAGCCACTGTGCCTGTCCACCGCTTTTTAACAAAGAGAAAAAAATTAACTAAACCACCCCCCAACCAAATTAGCAACTTAATGGAATTAATGAATCCAGTTGTGTATACAATAAATGTTGCTTGCCTACCATACCAGCACTGTTCTAGGGCTGGAGACATGGGGGTGAACAAAATAGACAAAGTCTCTTGCACTCACATTCTAGTGGAGAGACATAAACAACAAGTAGCAAATCAATATGTGCAGCATATCATGGATTCCAAATGCATACACATTTTTAGAGCATCTCTGATACTGGGATGCATCTTAGGGTCACTGTTGGTCTGTAATGGTCACTGCCTGAAAAGTGTGACATCGAAAACTTCAGGATAGGTGTCAAGAGCATGGAAGACAATCCCAGAGACAATATGGCCCACCCTTTTAGTGTCTATGAACAAATGGTTCTGGGGTGGAAGTCGGGGCAGCAATGAATTAGCAGAATGTAGCAACCTCCTGGAAGCGGCAGTTAAGTCGTGCTGCACTGCATTGTGCATAGCTGGCCAGGAGGCCAGCACCGGTGGCTTTATGGTCTCTTATGAATTTATTTTAAGAAATGCTGCAAAACCAATGATCTTAAGCTACCTAAGATGACATTGTTTGGCAAAATGTAAACATAAGACAGCTGTAAGTCAAAAAATGAGTCACATGAGTGGGATTCTGTGAGAAAGTTTTAAGAATATCTTTTTTTTTTTTTTTTTTTTTTTTAGGTGACGGAGTTTCGTTCTTGTCACCCAGGCTGGAGTCAGTGTCGCGATCTCCACCCACTGCAACCTCCACCTCCCAGGTTCAAGCAATTCTCCTGCCTCAGCCTCCCGAGTAGCTGGGATTATAGGCATGCACCACCACGCCTGGCTAATTTTTGTATTTTTAGTAGAGATGGGTTTTCACCATGTTGGCCAGGCTGGTCTCGAACTCCTGACCTCTGGTGATCCACCCGCTTTGGCCTCCCAAAGTGCTGGGATTAGACGCGTGAGCCACTGCACCCGGCCTGTTTTAGGAATATCTTAACTGATCTATTTCATGTCTTCAAAATGCATGCACAGAGGTGATACATGATAAAATCTATCCCCAGTCAGGTCTAGAAAAGCTCTTTTAATGAGCATAAAGTGATTGTCTATGCAGTAAGAAAGCATGGTGTCCTTGTTGAGTTAGTAGTGGTTTTTCTCTTAGTGGTATATAAAACGTGGCAGCGTGTCACAACCCACAGTGTCTTAGATTTTCTGAAATATGGTGGTCCATTAGGCAGTGATAAGTGGCTCAGATAAATTTAAGGTAAACTTGGAAGCAACCAGCTGGACAAATTGATTTGCATGGTGGGATGTGGAACTCAGCTGGTTCACTGCAGAACCAGGAGCAGCTGTGTTTTCATCCTGGCTCTCCTGTGAAGTTCCTGGGTGATTCTGGGGAAATCCTTTAATTTCTCCCAGTCTTAGCTTCCTCATCGGCCAAATGATGCAATCCTGCTTATTTGGTAGGGGGTGAAATTGATGGTCAGGTGATTTATGGGTAACAAAGGTTACCTAAGATCATCCTGAGGGTCTGTGCTTGGTGCTGGGAGTATAGCACTGAAGAAGGCAGAGATGGTACCACTCCTTCAGGGGATAACATTTGATGACATACCGATCCAGTTTCTCTCGTATCCAGGGGACATTTTCTGGTTCTTTCTGCTTTCTCTGCCCAACTAATAAAAAGTAGTGTGCAATGTGTCAGGAAGTGTGTGAGCATTTTTCATCACTCATTTAAGCCATGTTTGAAAGAAATAAGTGGACACAATTAAATTGATTTTTAAGACCTGAGAATTGTTTGATTCATTTAACATTTGTATTGGGCCTTGGCAAAACTGTAAAACAAAAAGAAGTTGACCTTCAGAAGGCCAAATATCATTTTGGATAAATTTCCTCTTAGTGTTGTGGATATAACCTTTTAAGGAACTAGTGCCTCTAATTCCTTCACCCCGTCCTTTTCCTACTCTCCCTCCATCTACATATTTGTGTTTTCTTTTTCTTTTTCTTTTCTTTTCTTTTTTTTTTTTGAGATAGAGTCTTGTTCTGTTGCCTGGGTTGGAGTGCAATGATGCCATCTTGGCTCACTGCAACCTCTGCCTCCCATGTTCAAGCGATTCTGTTGCCTCAGCTTCCCGAGTAGCTGGGATTACAGGTGCCCACCACACCCAGCTAATTTTCATGTTTTTTAGCAGAGATGGGGTTTTACCATGTCGGCCAAGCAGGTCTCAAATTCCTGACCTCAAGTGATCTGCCTGCCTCAGCCTCCCAAAGTGCTGGCATTACAAGCACGAGCCACTGTGTCAGGCCCATTTGTGTTTTCAAATTTTGCTTTTGGGAGCTAGCTTATACTAAGTGGTAAATGACTAATAAAAGTCTTGAAGTGCAACCCTTCTGAAATGTTTGCATTTTAACTGGGATCAGTGCTTTGAGGTAAAAAATATATATATTCTAAACATGGATTTCAGGTCATAATCCTTAAATAAATAACTTGATTTCCATCCACCTCCCCCATCATCCTTCTCCCCTCCTGAGGGCTGTGTAGGAATACTTAAACCATCACAGTTATGATTGCTTACTTTGCTTTCAATTAAGGTTGCTTCTATTTAGGAGGAAGTTTTGTTGTTTTTGTTGTTGTTCTATTTGTTTCTTATTACGGTTAATTATCAAATATCTCTGAAACTCAAACACATTTTTAAGGAAAACCTCTTCCTTAACTCTTAACAGCAAAGGCCCTATGTCTAACCCCAGAGAGTTATATTTTACATTTAATTTATTTGAGTGCCTCTTATCTATGTGTTGGAATATGCCCTTGCATTTTTTTTAAAAAGTAAGAATAATACAAATGTAAAATAACATACTTTATTGATATTCCTAATTCTCATGTCTGATTCATTTTATTTAAGGAAAAAAATTGTGATTCCTTGATTTAACCATAAGAGTGGCCTTTTTTTGAGTTTAAAAGAATTTCTCTCTCTCTTTGCTATTAACACCGTCTGACAGAATTTTAGCCAACAAGCAGCGCCTGTCATCTTGAACAGTGACGGATGTTTGTTATAGCCCAGGCTTGACTAATATTATCTGTGCAACTATGTTTTTATCATCAAGTCAGCCTAATTTGATGTGAGTTTTGGGAAAGAATGTTCTCAACACTGAACAACGACCAAATAAAACCACTTTTATTTGGTTAACCAAGGTTTAATCAATAAACACATCAGCATTAAATTTGCTGCACTGCCCTGTGTTGTAACGTGGTTGTTCCCTCTCTCTGGTTATGTATTTTGTCACTTATGGAATGGAAGTTCACTGTGCATAGCAGTTCTGGCACTTGGGAAACAGAGGCACATGGATAAAGGCCTCTTTTTTAGCTTGAATTCTAGGGACATTTAGCCAGGTTCTGTCTTTGCTCTATGGGCTTCAGTAAAGAGCAGTGGTTGAGAGAAATAGCCTGTCTTTGCTGATCCTGCAGCTGAAGAGGGATGACAGCAGGGAGAAAGGAATCAAGAACTGCCTTTCCTGTGGAAACACTAACCATTTCAACAGCATGAGCGTCACAGTGCAATCCGGATGGAAGAAGCCATTGCGTTAACTGATAACGATCCACCTCCGTTCTCTTCAAAGTGATTTCTTTTTCCTCTTGGACTCCCATCAGGGAGCAAAGAGTGAAGGGACTTCAGGTTCATTTAATGTTTACTATGCCTCAAGCGTTTCCTTTGATGTCAGTATCATTCCTCTCATTTTACAACTGAGGAAATACTGGGCTCAAAAGGGTTAAATCACTTGTCCAAGGTCACATAGATGTCAATAGAAGAACTAAGTTTTTGATTCCTAAAATATATATAATTTTCAAATTATTATATATATTATTATGTACATATAAAATTATGTATATAATTTTCTAATATACATATTAGAAAATTGCACTACTTATTTGTATAGATAACAGTCCATATTTGTAGAACTTTAAATCTTGTATTATAGGCCTTTTTTTTTCTTTTTTGAGACAGAGTCTCGCTCTGTCACCAGGCTGGAGTGCAGTGGCATGGTCTTGGCTCACTGCAACCTCTGCCTCCCTGGTTCAAGCAATTCTCCTGCCTCAGCCTCCCGAGTAGCTGGGACTACAGGTGCACACCACCACACCCGGCTAATTTTTGTATTTTTAGTAGAGATGGGGTTTCACCATGTTGGCCAGGATGGTCTCGATCTCCTGACTTCGTGATCCACCTGCCTCGGTCTCCCAAAGTGCTGGGGTTATAGGTGGTATTATAGGATTTAAAAAAAAAAAACAAAAAACCTTACATGCCTTAAAGGTAGAAGCTACCATTAGAAACTTTTGGAAAAGTGGAAGACGAGTGGCCTTTGTAATTAAACATAACTGGGCTTGAAGCCCTCAGCTAGCGGTGCGGCATTGTGTGACAATGATTTTCCCTCCCCCAACCTCATATTCTTCATTCATAACAGGAGAATGCTTCCACTGAGAAATTGTGGACACTCTATAAATGTTACCTTGGGATAATTCTAAACATGTCACATGCATTGATCACAATGAAGGAACTTTTTTTAAGTATGTTCAATATTTCTTTAAGGTGTTATTTAATTAATCCCCACACTTCTGTAATGTTCATGTATGAAATTTGGGCAGAGAAGTCGAGTTGATAATATGCCCTATTAATAAAACAGGGTCAAATTTAATAGACTAGAATGTAAAGATGGGAAAAAATTGTAGTTTTCCTTATTGTTTTTAGTTGAACGTGCATAAGTCAGCCTCCATTCTCATAGATGACAGAAAGACACATTTGACAAGTAAAGATAATGGTCTTTTTCTCTTTAAAATCATCCCTTCCAGATAAATTGGTTCAATTAATAAACTTCAGATTCCCTTTCAGGGTCTTTCCTCCCACTCATCCTTCCCACAATGTCACCTGAATGAAAGGAGAAGCTCATGAATTTCTGGGGAGTTGAGACGCCCTCTCCTTCCTGGTCACTTTGTACCCTGCACAGGGACCTGCTTAAGTGTGTTAGGTCCTGTGTGGCATCCTCCTGGTGCCTGCTGGGGAATTCTGTTCTCCCGAACTCTGAGATGTCTTTGGACAGACCCCAGACCTCCTCAGGCCATTGGTTCCCTCGGCACTTTCATATGAGAGTCTGTTGAGGGAAGCAGGGTAGTTAGGCAGTGAGTACACAGCATAACATGCTACGATGGAGGAAGCACTCCGTGTCAGGAACACCATCTCTATGAAAATGGAAGGTCCAAAAACAGTCATTACTTTGCTTTTGCCGGAACCCAGGTGACTTCCAGCATCAATGTAGAAATCAGGGGTGCTGAACCCAGACTCTGCTTTCTGAGAAATCTTCCTGGGAAAACTGGCTCTCGAGCTGCAAGCTGAAGGAGGTACAGGAGGCAGCTGGCCAGACCAAGGGTTTTGGGA
Source organism: Homo sapiens (assembly GCF_000001405.40). Taxonomy (NCBI): domain Eukaryota; kingdom Metazoa; phylum Chordata; class Mammalia; order Primates; family Hominidae; genus Homo; species Homo sapiens. Next base: position 8,139,586 of record NC_000006.12, read on the forward strand.
GTTGGGGATGGAAAGGAGGAGCGCACGTGTGAATCAGAGACTCTAGCATGTGAGAGGGCCCTGAGGGAAGCTTTTTTGAGAAACCGAAAGGTGGGGGCTGGTGTGGTGGCTCACGCCTGTAGTCCCAGCACTTTGAGAGCCCAAGGCGGGCAGATGGCTTGAACCCTGGAGTTGGAGACCAGCCTGGGCAACACGGTGAAACACCATCTCTACAAAAAATTTAAAAATTAGCTGGGCAGGGTGGCATGTGCCAGGAGTCTCAGCTACCTGGGAGGCTGAGGTGGGAGGATCGCCTGAGCCCAGGAAGTCAAGGCTGCAGTGAGCCATGATTGTTCCACTGCTCCACTCCAGCCTGGGTGACAGAGCAAGACTCTGTCTCAAAAAAAAAAAAAAAAAAAAAAAAAAAGAAAGAAGGGTGGGGTACCATGTGTGTGGGTGGAGCTGGAAGCGTCATGCAACCAGGCTGAAGGAGGAAGCTGGGATCAAGTTAAGAAGGGCCTTCGTAACCATGGTAACATTGGTCACCATAGCCAGTCACTGTCAAGAGCACTGGGAAGCCACAGAAGTCTTGGAAGCAAAGGAATGACACGATCCCCTTTGTGGGAAGATGACTGAGCTGTAGGTACACGATGGATCTGAGGGCCTGTTGGAAGAGTCTAGGGATTTATTAGAAGAAAGATATGATTAGCTTAACAAAATCTCATTTTTATGGCACGGGTTGGTATCCAAGATCATGAAAAAGAATTCCCATTTTTTTTTTCTGAAAACATGGAAATCAACAACATACACTAAAATATTATCAGAAGAGTACTCTATTTTAACATATGGATAATTTTATATTCTATATATTCCATATAATATATTTTAAAATCCATGGCTCTTTCCATCCACACTCCATTGAAAATAAATTATGAAATTATTGAAAAATAAATTATGATACTAAAAAACTCAATGAATAATAACTTAAAGATTAAAATGCATACATTTAAAATCTTGTCAACTGGTCCATTACTGTAGGAGCTCTTATTAAGGTTCACATATATGCACCATCTTTCCCGGGCTCAGATCATAATCCCCCATGTTCATGTGACGTGTTTTAGACAATAAAAATGTTCAGAAGAGACATGTGATGCTGTAAGACACTGAGATTTGGGGGACAGTTTGCTACCCTAGCATAACCTGGTCTATTCTGGTGAATGTAACTCTATTACATCATAAAATAATATACCAAACATGGAATTTTAAAGTATCTCAATCTCTTATACAAATGGAAAATCTGAAAACAGTAGTTAACTTGCTTTGGCTGGCACCCAGGTGACTTCTTGATGAAAATGAATGCTTCCTAGTCTTTTAGGTGTGCCAGCGATGGGAAAACTGAGAATGATGAGGAAGCGAAGGAAAAAAAGAAGAGAAGTCTTCCTCCAGACGTGGCTTGGGAGCTTCCCATTATCTCTTCCATCTCCCTTCCCCAGCATCCTATCTCAATCTCATTAAGCTTAGCAGGAGACACATTGGAAGAATTTCCCTTGAAGAAATATTACTTGTTACTTTCCAATAAGTGGACTAAATGGATTTAGCACCTGGGCAGTTTGTGCTAAGATGCTTATCAGCCCGAGCTGATCTGTTCACAAGTTCTGAGCACTATGCGGGGGGATATCCAAATCCTGTTTACAGGTGCTTGAATGACACAACCGTGAACAATAATTTCAGTGAAAGTGTGCAAAAGTCGAGCCACCAAAATGCATCTTTTTTTATAGTACTGTATCAGTAATTTTGCCCTATTTAAGTCATTATAACATTTAAATTCTGGCATCTCATTGTATCAAAATGCTTTGGATGCCTGTTCATTAAAATTCTCTGCATGTTATTCATCAGTATCGTAAATGAGTTGGTTCTTGGTAGTGATGTTAACATGCTTCACCTTTATTCTGTGTTCTTTTATTCCTTTCCCTGTATCGATGTGTTGCAAGGCTTTGTCTCTAAAATGCTAATAGAATTGTTACTGGAGGAAGCAGCAGCTACAGAAACAGGCTCTGATCTTTTGGTGCAGCTCTAGTTCCTACACCAGCAACAATTGAAAAATTAGAAAGCAAGCTCTGCACAACTGATGACTTGATAAGCAAAGTGCAAAGACAGGCACAAAACAGGCCAAAACATTTGCTGCTTCAAGAATAGAAAAGAAAAATAATAATACAAAAAAAATAGTAAAGATTTGGGATTGGGGTTTTTCACCTAAGGAGAAAAGCTTTGTCTTTTCTGCAGATTTCACCAGTCACTGACATTATAAGCGAATAGTGACATTTAGTAAAATGGTAAATGAAGGGAATCAAATTTACGGTTGCATGTTACTTATGACTATGTAGATTATAAGGGGAGGTTGTATGGTTTCCTTAGGTTCTTTGGAGGGAAGTCTACAGTCAAGTTTATGAAATGGAAATATGGCCCACGAGGAATAACCTCTCCTACAGCACAGGGAGGCCTGTTTCCTACTAGAAACCTTCTTCCTGTTTTTCACGTTTTTAGTCATTTTATCTAACTATTCATTTATTGTGCCCAAAATTATTTGAAGCAGTTTATGAATATTTGGCTTTTAGATTGAAAAAAAAAACCTACATGGTCATGAAATGTAAATTATTATTGAAAGTCCTAACTTTCCAGATTCATTCCTACCCTACTAAGCTTTAGCCACTCAATTTACGTACAGGGATACATTTTTATTTTATTTATTTATTTTTTGGAGACAAGGTCTCACTCTGTCGCTCGGGCTGGAGTGCAATGGTGCGATCTCGGCTCACTGCAAACTGTGCCTCCTGGGTTCAAGCCATTCTCCAGACTCAGCCTCCCGAGTAGCTGGGATTAAAGGTGTGTACCACCACACCAGTGATTTTTTTGTATTTTTAGTAGAGACTAGGTTTCACTATGTTGGCCAGGCTGGTTTCAAACTCCTGGCCTCAGGAGATCCACCACCTCTGCTTCCCAAAGTGCTGGGATTATAGTCATGAGTCACCGTGCCCCGCCCAGAGATACATTAAATATCTCTTATTAATATCATCGGTGTTTGTCTAGGGTTATCATCCACAAATGAAGCAAGCCAACCACCACCTTCAAAAGGCAGGATGTCTTACAATTGATTCATTATAAAAAAAAATTTAAATAAATAAAAATAAAAATAAAAAAATAAAAAAATAGGCAAGTTGCTAACTGGAGTAACATCAAACATGTTCTAAAAAAGGCTCAAAATCCCTAAGATTTATTTTATTATCCAAGTAGTAGAACGAGACAAATTTTCTGCACCTCTCTTCTAAGGAAACCAAACAATGTTCTTTACATCGTTGCATCCCAGTTGGAGTGGCTGAAGATTTTCATACTTCTCTTTGTTATGTAGCATCAAAGATGAGACACTGGTCACTGCTTGAGATAAAATACCCAGGATATGGTTTTGGTTTATGCAGAGACACAAAGTTGTGTTACTTGTGCTTCTCCCGGCTGCGGGGGATCTCCAGGTCATCTTTCTGTGCTGAAGAGACAACACAGTTACTGCATTCAGGTTTATGTTTTTAAATCTGCTTTTCCTGAGATAACTCTATGTGACTGTCAACGCTTCTAATGGAGTTTGAAGCCCGGCCATATTAAACCAGGGAGCCATCGTGTCATGCTGGCCTCCGTGAGTGCACAGTCCCTGTCCAAGCCGATGTGGCATTAGACAGCCTTCCAAGTTCTGGGCTCAAGCTTTGGATGTACAATCATGTTTCCTTTGGAAAATGATTTTTTTTATGGCTGAAATAAGATTGATTTTCCTTCTGTATGTTAGTTGCGCTTGTAAAAACAGCTTTAACCAAATTTTAGGGTCATTCTAACATGTCATTTCTACAATTAAAAGTGTTAACTATTTTGCAGATGAACACTTCCTTCATCATGTGTCCTTCCCTTCCTACATAAAAGCAAATAGAATCTTTTTTCTTTTTTAGATGGAGTTTCGCTCTTGTTGCCCAGGCTGGAGTGCAGTAGCACGACCTCAGCTCACTGCCAGCTCCGCTTCCCAGGTTAAAGTGATTCTCCTGCCTCAGCCTCCACAGTAGCTGGGATTACAGGCGCCCGCCACCACACCCCCCTAATTTCTTGTATTTTTAGCAGAGACAGGGTTTCACCATGTTGACCAGGCTGGTCTTGAACTCCTGACCTCAGGTGATCCTCCCACCTCTGCCTCCCAAAGTGCTGGGATTACAGGCATGAGCCACCATGCCTGGCTGCAAACAGAATCTTTATATGTTCTCTAGAGAAAAGGTCAGAGGCTCTGTCTGGGTATGTGTGTGTTTTCCGGAACATTCTTTTTCATAGCAGTCTCTGTGAACTTCCAGATTTATATAGCCTGTAAAGGTGAAAGCAAATGTAAAGAACATTGTTTGGTTTCCTTAGAAGAGAGGTGCAGAAAATGTGTTTAGTTCTATTACTTGGATAATAAAACAAATCTTACGGATTTTGAGCCTTTTTTAGAACATGGTCTATGTTACTCCAGTTAGCAACTTGCCTATTTTTTTATTTTTATATTTATTTATTTATTTATTTATTTATTTATTTTGCAGTTTGGTACAGGAAAGTTTATACAGTTTGGTGTTAGAATAGACAAAGCAAAAATTTCCTCCTTTTTTTGAGGCCCAGTTCCTCAAAAGAAGTAATATGAGCTGCCTCACAATATTTTTGTGAGGGTTAAATGAGATAATGCGTGAAAAAAATAGCATCATGTCAAACATAAAATAGTCACTCCATAAATATTCATTGCTTTTCATTTCATTCTCTGACATTCTCTTTCCTTAAGGAAAATCTTACATTAGACTTATAGTCAATGAGACAGAATGAATGAAGGATGGAAAAAGGAAGGGAGAAAGAAAGAGAGGAGGCCGGGCACAGTGGCTTACACCTGTAATCCTACCACTTTGGGAGGCCAAGACGGGTGGATCACCTGAAGTTAGGAGTTCAAGACCAGTCTGGCCAACATGGTGAAACCCCATCTCTACTAAAAATACAAAAGATTAGCCAGGCATGGTGGCGGGTGCCTGTAATTCCAGCTACTTAGGAGGCTGAGGTAAGAGAGTCGGTTGAACCCAGGAGGTGGAGGTTGCAGTGAGCTGAGATCGCAGCATTGCACTCCAGCCTGGGCAACAAGAGTGAAATGTCATCTCAAAAAAAAAAAAAAAAGAGAGAGAGAGAGAGATTGGAATAAACAATAAAGGAATGGTATCAACATCACATGAAAACCAGTTCAGAAGCATAATTTTAGTTAAAATGGTCACTTGGTATCATGCTAACCAAAGTAATTGATTCAGCCTTTAAGGAAAAATTGGTTGTATAACATTTACTCAGCACCTACTAAGTACAAAGCACTGGGTTAGGCAGTAGGTATTAAAAGGTGAGCAGGTGGATTCCAGACCTCTAGGAGCTCAAGTACTATGGAGAAATAGACACAAAAATCAATAGCTCCAATACAATATGCCAAATTCTGTAACAGAGAAAAGGCTGCACATGGGTGATGCACTTACACTGAAAGGATTACTTCGATTTAGAGCCATGAGCTCCGATCGTCTCTAGAATATTACAGATATTTTGATACAATGCTTTTCCCTTGTGAGAACTCCTTGTCATTGGATGGACAGTTAGGATAATTTGTTGCTCAGACTCAACTTATTTTGGCTTCTGTAAAAATTATCTGAGTAGTGAGGCAAAACACTTGAGTATTAGGGAAAGCCATAGACATCAATTTCCTCAAGGGGTAAGAAGTTTTATCATTTGTGTTTTCGTCTGTAGCAAAAAATACAAATGCATAAAAGCTCAGGACCCAGATGAAGCATTTCACCACCTGGGCCTCTAAAATAAGTTGGCAGCTCCAACGAGAAGGTGTAGGTTGAAAAGAGGTCCCTGTCCCTCACAGCTTTAAGCAGACCTGACAGTTTCTTATTGAGAGAGAGAATGTTCCTTAGTTGACATGAAAAGTTTTGATGACACACCACCCTAATTATCCCCTACCCTCTGGAAGAGCTGAATCCACAACCCAATTCTGGGTGACATGTTTTTGCCCTTCTTGCTATTATCAGTCTCCACTAACTGATCATCACGTCATGTTAACCTGCAAATACAAACTCCTGAGCCATTTAATGAGACCTTGATCTATGGCCAACTTGAGGCCCTCCTTGCCCATCTCTTCCTCCATTGAAGAGCAACATCAAATAATGCTTCCAATAAAATTGACGCGTCTTTGTTAGAGATGTCAGGTTTAGGGGTGTCTGGCCTCTGAAGCTGGCTAATGCATGAGTCCTTTTCTAGACAAGGTAGAGGGCTCATTGGAGTGATTAGAGCAATTATTCAGGGTTACCTGTCATATGTAATCAGCTCTGGCCCATGTGGTGGGAAGAGGTGACCTAGACCTGCCTTTTCAGACCAACTATTGCTATTGGATGGCATCTTTGCCTTCAGCATCTCCTTAGATATGCTCAAGTTCCAAACATCTATCGGCAAAACTTAACTTTCTTGCATTTTTAAAAATTCTATTTTAATAGCCCTCTTACTCAGAGGAGGTCATCTGAGGCTTGTTATGATTTATTTTTCTTCTGCAATTTCTCTTTTATCCTACCTGACATATTTTATTGCTAAATTTCCCGTGTGATAAAGCAAGAGTCCTTCTGAGTTAAGGAAAACTTCTTACTTCCTTTCATCTCATCAAATCATCCTGAAGAGCAGATAAAAGCCTTTTAGTGAAACCTGGTATTACTGAAGAAGGAAAGAAATTCTAAAACCACAGAAAATGGCTTATATCTGGTGCAGAAGTTTTTGATGAGGTAGACTTTATTGTTAATCATTATGAGCCTTATCATCATCATTATCATCATCATCATCTTCACTGGCATTAATTTTTGTTTTCACCTCCATTAGGTACTTGTGTGTATGCGAGTAGCACTAGAAATGCCATAACAATGGAATCATATGTCCACAGTTCTACCTCTTTGAGCCATGCAATTTAAGGCAAGTAAATTTAAACATGCATTAAAAGTAACACATTACATTTTGAGTAAAAAACAAACAAGAGCTTGGATTGTAAAAATAATTGAAACATTGCCTTTATGTATAACATTTTATTTTTTTAAGTGTGAGAAGTGAAGGAAAACCACAAATGCTATGTATGTCATCCAGGAGAATGTTTTTACCCCCTCCTTTAATTTCTCAGAGGGAGAATTAGGACAGAGGTGGGACATTATATTATGAATTACTTTAGAAAAGGGAAATCAAAGTCTTGTGTGATAGGGCATTTCAGCCATATTACCACCAAGTAAAATTAGGTATCTTGGTAATTTTTATAAAAGTGAGATTATTTTCTTTGGCTAAGGCTGAACAGCAGTCATGATAAGATTGGGATAGCATCTCCTTGTGATCAGAAATACCCTTGATATATGACAAAGTATGTGACTCAATCTGGGTCAGTGAAAATTTTCTCTCCCCCTGATTTCTATTCATTATAAGTACAAACTCACTCTAGAACTCTGTGGGAACTCCTCTTCTTTGTGGCCCAGAAATAGCATTTAATAGTTACTTGTTATCATTTCCAAATCAACACATTTCCAAGCAGAATCAAAGCAATATCCTCTGCCAGGATGGATCCAGGAAAATGGTAACCACTCATGAGAGCCATTGTTCCTTTTGTTCTTCTTGCCACAGGTAGCTTTTTGGAGCACCAACCTGCTTTCCCATCCTTGTCGGACACATGTTGCCATTGGGAAGTATTTTTTTCCAACTAAAGTTGTCTCAAGTGTTATTTGGGGCTTGGGAGGGTGGGGTGGTCCCTCTGAATTCCATAGTATTTACTGCCTTACAAAACAGATATTACCTATTATTATTATTTTTCATTTTCTGCATGAGTTCTGTCTACCTAACCACACATTATGTCTTTTCAGACAGATGTGAGCTGGTAGAAGTCATGTAATCTCACTGAGCTTCAGAGTCCCCATTTATAATGTGGGGGATAGTAATATTATCTTCCTGATCCACTTCACAGGCTGTTTTGACACGAAGCATGAGATAATACATGTTGAATGAATGAATGAATGAAAATATGTTGAAAAGTATAACGTACTGTGCAAATTTAAGTCCACAGGTGCCTAGAATAATAGATATCTTCAACATGACCTAGCCCAGTGCTATTGTTTCAACGGTGAGGAAACTGGAGTCCCTGCAGGCAGTCACAGAGCACCTTAGTGCAGCTGAGCCTGTGTTCAGGTCTCTAGACTCTCAGCCTGGTGCTCTCAGTTCTCTACCATGTTGCTTCTTTCATTAAGCAGGGCCTTCCATGTGATGGGCACCAAGTAACTGTTTGATTATTACCAGAGGCAGCATAACCAGAGGCAGCACAGCCTGGTCTCCCTCTGGGGTGTGAAAAACTGACACTACATCCTTTCTTGAAAGCAGAAGGTGACAGAAAGGTAATGAGAGTGTTGGTGCCTGTAGGAGGGATGGGAGAAGCAGAGCTTTGAAGGATGAAAAGGAGTACCAAAGAGTCTGGCTAGGCCTATGGAGATGACCTTTGCTGATGTACATTTTCCAGGTTGGTTACAGGTAGCTTAAGGTGGGGAAACCTTATGGGGATTTATGCTTGGATGGGAAGCTCACTTTCCCCCTTCTAGTAGTACTCTGCCTTCCATGTGTGACCACTCATGCCTGCTATCCAATGGGTGACTCATTTCTAATAGGAACTACCTGCAGGCATAGGACTCAGGTTGAGAAGTTGCTTCCAAACAGCAAGGTCATTATCAGTCTCAGATCCAGTTCATGGATCTGGCACACCATAGCGGGAGAGAGATCAGAATTCACAGATCTGGAGAGGTAGCCATTTCGAACATCAAGCTTGTTGGGGAGAGATGGGAACCAGAGGGGCTATTGACAAATGAGCACAGATCTGTAACAGTCAAGATACGGACTGGGATGCAACTGGGTCAATGTGGCAGTTCTGGACCAAACTTCACACAGGTTGAGAAACTGCAGGCATTCCTTTTACATGAAGCTTGCTGTTCATTGCTGCACTGGGCTGGCTAATGGGTCACGCTGGCATCCTTTCTAAAGCTTTGGTTGGTACTTGTGTTAGTCCATGTTGCATTGCTATAAAGGATACCTGAAGCTGGGCAATTTATTAACAAAAGAGGTTTATTTGGCCCAGGGTTCTGCAGATCATACAGAAAGCATGGCGCCAGCACCTGCTTCTGCTGAGGGCCTCAGGGAGCTTTTAACCATAGGGGAAGGTGAAGGGGGAGCAGGCATGACACGTGGTGAGAGGGGTAGCAAGAGAGAGAGGAGGAGGCATGCCAGACTCTATCGACCATGAACTATCGTTCATGAACTCTCAGGAACTAATAGAGCAGAAACTCATTCTTTTTTTTTGATGGCATTTCACTCTTGTTGTCCAGGCTGGAGAGCAATGGCGCAATCTTGGCTCACTGCAACCTCCGCCTCCCAGGTTCAAGTGATTCTCCTGTCTCAGTCTCCTGAGTAGCTGGGATTACAGGCATGTGCCACTACGCCTGACTAATTTTGTATTTTTTAGTAGAGATGGGGTTTCTCCATGTTGGTCAGGCTGGTCTCGAACTCCCGACCTCAGGTGATCCACCCGCCTCAGCCTCCCAAAATGTTGGGATTACAGGCGTGAGCCACCACGCCTGGCCAGAAACTCATTCTTTGCTGCAGGGATGGCACCAAGCCATTCATGAGGGATCCTCCTCCACGACCCAAATGCCACTCACCAGGCCCCACTTCCAACATTAGGGTCAAATTTCAACATGAGATTTGGAGGGGACAAACATCTGAACTATATCAGCATTTAAAAAAACTAGGAGGAGAGGATGGAAATGCAGTCAAGCTATGCCTACCATACTTCTCCTTGAAGTATTGCTGTAGGAAGCCAAGCCAGTGTCTCATTTCAGGTGGTTGAGTCATCTGTGCTTTTCACACCTCAGTCAGAATACAGCTGCTCCTTCTTTGCCACCCATGATAAAAAGGAAAATATTTATTTGAGCAATCAGGGTGTTCAATTTCTTCCAGTACCCTAGAAGTAACTGAAGCAATGCAATTATTCTTGAAGAAGACAAAAGAAACTGCTGCCAGACATCTTAAATTAAAGACGCAGTGCAAAACCTTACTGTTATATGTCTGAATGCTGTACTGAATGGCAAACTCACATACTAAAAAGATTTAAAAACGCTTATGGTAGCAGAGTTGTTCACTTCTATTCTTGATCCAGCTGCTGGTGAAGTCTTGAAGAGACAGAATTATTCTCTTAATATTTTGACACTTGTATTCAAAGTCTATTTGAATTAGCAGGTTTTGAAAAATGACATGTTTGCTTCTGTGGTTGAAGGAAAAAAATCTAGGTCAATGATAACCTCACTTCAACCTTCTCACTTTGAAATGGGTGCGTTCCCTCTCATTGCTGATGAGTGGTCAAAGTACCCCCAGGCACACAGCCTTATTCACTGCCATCACTTCTCACAGGAGCAGAATGATAATACTTGTAAATAGAGGTGTTGCGCAGGCACATGGATTAATGCTCTTACTGGCTGGCCTAATAGGTTCATCAATTAGCAAAATGATCCTATGCTACCACTCAAAACTAAGAAAACTTAGGTACAACTGCCTCTCACCAATTCACTGTACTTGGAAACATCCCCTTAAAGGTCTGGTGGGGGAGAAAGACTCTCCTGGTTCATTAGTAGGAAGGAAATCCAAATCAAGTGTGAATGACGGAAGCAGTGCCAGTAATCTTGCAAGTGGTGTGATTGCTCTGTGTGATATTTCAAAACCTCCTCCGAAGGGAAAAATCAAGATGATCGGGCCAGTCAGCTTCACACCAAACTGGCCTGGAGAATGACAGCCTTTTCATTGTCAAACAGTTCAAGAATGTCTCTGTGTGATATTGATGTGGCATCTATTTTCAAACTGTAATCCAGTAGCTCTGGCATGCAGGGTTTTGTATTTCTGCAAACTCTTTTGGGTTTTCTATTTCTACAATGTTTGCCTGAGCTAACATTTCTCATGAACAGAAAATTGAAATTTTAAAAAGCAATTATAGATGGTGTGAAATATAAAGACACCAGGGACATTGTATTCGGGATTTTTCAGAGAAACAGAGCCAGTAGGGGGTGTGTGTGTGTGTGTGTGTGTGTGTGTGTGTGTGTGTGTGTGTGAAAGAAAAATGCTTATGTGATGATGAAGGCTGACAAGACCCTAAGTCCTAAGATGTGCAGTTGTCATGCTGGAGACCAGGAGAGCTGATGGTACAGTGCCAGTCTGGGTCCAAAGGCCTGAGAAAGAGACGCAGTCTCAGTTTGAGTCCATAGGCAGGAAAAAACTGATGTACCAGTTTGAAGGCAGTCAGGTAGCAGGAATTCTCTCTTACCTGAGGGACCTCAGCCTTTTTGATCTATTGAGGCCTTTGACTGATTGAATGAGGTCCACCCACATTTGGGAGGGCAGTCTACTTTTCTCAGTCTCCTGATTCAAATGTTAATCTCATCTAGAAAGTCCCTCACAGGAATATCCTGAACAATGTTTGACCAAATATCTTGGCACCCTGTGGCCCAGTCAAGTTGACACATAAAAGTAACCATGATAGATTTTGACTGAGTTCGAAACTGGAAGCCAGTAGATCTGTGAGGTTAGGTATTTTTTTTGAAAAGCTGATTAGTAAAATTCCTGTAATGCCCTGCTGTCTCTTCACCCTTCTAATCTTCCCTGTCATGGGCAGGTAAGCTGCACGTCACTCAGATAATGGCTAATTGCTCAGCTGCTTGCTGGCCCTTTGGTTGTAGAGTATGATATCCTCATATGCAAAGTGGTGCTTATACCCCCTGCCTTTATGGCCTGTAGGAATTCCTTGAGGATCACTTGCTGACCAGGAATCAGGTAGCCTGGCTTTTGGTTTGGGTTTGGCTTCTGATGTGTTGTGTGCTCATGCAAATTATTTGAGCTTCAGTTTTTCTTTTCTTTTTTTGAGACAGGGTTCACTTTGTGATAGAGTGCAGTGGTGTGATCTTGGTTCACTGCAGCCTCCGCATTTTGGGCTCAAGCAATCCTCCCACCTCAGCCTCTGGAGTAGCTAGTATCACAGGAACAAACTACCATTTTTTTTTTTCCTTTTTGTGTAGAGACAGAGTTTCACCATGTTGCCCAGGCTGGTCTCAAACTCCTGGGCTCAAGTGATCCACCTGTCTTGGCCTCCCAAAGTGTTGGGATTAAAGGCATCAGCCACCACGCCCAGACCATTTTTCTTATTTGTAAAATAATCCATGTGATCTCAAAGATCCCTTCCAAGTTTCAAACCTTGAAATTAATAAATGACTTGGAAACTACACAGAGAACTTGCCTGTACATGAGTAATCTGGGTATGCGGATAAAATCTTTTACTTTGAATTCCTAGTCAAAATGTGGACCTAAAACACACAAAAGAGTAGGATGAGAGGAAAACTTACTTCTTACTGCTGTTTATTCTTTATTTTTATTTGATTAGTGTCTTATGTTTGAAGGATATTTGAGTTCTTTTAACTTTTTGATATCTAGAAATGATGAGTTGCTTATTTCCACATTTGGAATGAATTTTATTCCAGGTAATTACTTCAGATGATTGCTCCTATTATTTTGTTTTGGTCCTCTGCCTAAAACATGCCTTAAAGATTTTTCAAAAATAAAATTATTTCTTTCCACAGCAATAAAAGTACATTTTGTGGTAATACTTGACATGCTATGTGCTAATACAGATTCTCTTTGATTTATGATGAGGTTATGTCTTGGCAAACCCATTTTAAGTTGAAAATATTGAAAGTAGAAAATGCAGTTAATACACCTAACCTATTGAACGTTGTAGCTCAGGCTATCCTACCTTAAATATATTCAGAACATCAGTATGAGGGAGTATCGTATTGCATGTCACTAGCCAGGGAAAAGACCAAAATTTAAAATTTGAAGTATGGTTTCTGCTGAAAAATCTTACTGCTTTTGCACCACGGTAAAGTCGAAAAATCCTGAGTCAAACCACCATAAATCAGGGACCGTCTGTAATTGTCAGCTTATGACTTGTAAGTTCTAGGTTTCATAGCTCAAGGCTGGAAGCCAACCTTGTCTTTTCATCAGTCAGTTTTGAATCCAATGGCAATTATGTACCAAGAAGACATTCAAGAACGTTAACTTACACTTTGTGTACTTTTCTATAAAATGAAACTTTAGCATAAATTACAGTTGGATTTATAGTACATGGGATAGAAGATACACTTCCTATTGCTGTCTTCTTTTGTAGAGAAGGCAAATAGCCTACTGCATAGTGATAAGACTGCTAACCTCCTAACTTCACATTTGAAACTCAATTTCCATCTGTTTTAGTTCCACACCGTGTGTCAACGACAGAGTTGGAGGCTATTGATCAAGATCCTTGTGGACCCACCCACACATTCTACATAGAATCATGACTGACAAAGTGACATGCTATGTGTTTTCAAAATGACATAGAGATTGAAAATGGAAAAGTTAAATATAAATCTTCATGGAAGTTTCAGTAATTTTTAATAATTTGTTCTTTTGTGGCATGCATATGTGAATGATATATTTGTCCTAGAGCAATAGGAATTCATTTCCCCACATCTGTAATATCTGCAGTAAGCTAAATTAAAAATGCATTTGTACTTGTACAGTTAAATGATCATATTTAATGAAATGTCAGAGATGAATCTTAGCAAATAGTCAGGAAATTATTTCAGGGAGTGCAGCATTTCATTACTAGCAGTCAGAGAAAAGCAAAGTGATTAAACAAATGGTTTACTGCTCTAAGGTGGTGGCTGCCCAAAAAGAATAGAATGCCAGTGTGTGGAGGTGAGAGACAAATGCTGCCTTTTCTGTGTCCACCGTCTCTCTGCTCTGGTCCCCCTCTACACGATGGAATCCTGAGTCTGATAGTAGCTCAGAGTAGGGGCTTTGGAGACTTTTCTCATGCAATGAGGGAAATAGCCATTAGGAAATGACTATGGTGTATGGGAATCACCTCACATGAGGTCCAGGACCAGGCTTTAGCAAGGCGTAGGCAGATGAGTTGAGTAGGAGTCTCAGATTAATTGAATGAGGACTGGAAGGAGCTGGTTGAAGATCAATGGATATTTAGCCTCCAGATCTTTACCCATGGGGGACAATTGGATGTGGGTGGCAAGCAACATGGAACTGGGAAGAGACAGGAGATTAGTAGCTGTGCTGTGGGTAAGAACAGAGTGGAAGAGGATAGGCAGGTAGGTAGCAGGCAGCAAGCAGGCACAGAGGAGAAGGAGAATCAAGCGGATAGGAGGGAGGTTAAAGGGAGGACACTGGTCATTTGAAAAGGCAGAGTGCAGCTAGTTTATTTGTTACCAATGTAAAGTCACGCCCCACACAAATCTCACACAAGCAACTTGAATCATCAAATCATCAACTGTTTTGGTTGGTGTTATGGGTTGTATGGTGTCCTCTATGAGTATATGTTTAAGTCCTAACTCCTAGTACCTCAGGATGTAAACTTATTGGGAAATAGGTTGCTACAGATTTAATTATTAGGTTTGTGCAAATATAATTGAGGTTTTTGCCATTAAAAATAATGGCAAAAACTGTTATTAACCTAATAGGAAGAGTTCCTACTGAAGTAGAGTAGAATCTCTATCCAGTGTGCCTGGTGTCTTTAGAAGATGATGTGGCCGGGCGCGGTGGCTCACGCCTGTTATCCCAGCACGTTGGGAGGCCGAGGTGGGTGGATCACCTGAGGTCAGGAGTTCGAGACTAGCCTGGCCAATATGGTGAAACCCTGTCTCTACTAAAAATACAAAAATTAGCCGGGTGTGGTGGTGTGCACCTGTAGTCCTGGCTACTCGGGGGACCAAGACAGGAGAATCACTTGAACCCAGGAGGTGGAAGTTGCAGTTAGCCAAGATCGTGTCACGTCACTCCAGCCTGGGGGATAGAGTGAGACTCTGTCTCCAGAAAAAAACCAAAAACAAAAACAAAAAACAAGATGATGTGACAGAGGCAGAAGAGGCAGAGAGTGGAAGGATACAACTGCAAGTCAGGGAGCTCCAGAGATTGACAGCCACCAATACAAGCTGGAAAGAGACAAGAAGTCTTCCCTAGAGCCCTCAGAGACAGCATGGCCTTGCTGACACCTTGATCTCAGACCCTTCCAGAGCTGTGAAACAATAAGCTTTGTTGTTTTAAGCCACCCAATTTGTGGTATTTTCTTACAGTGACCCTAGGAACCTAATACAGTTGGTAAAACCCAATTCTGAATGGCCAAATCAATAAGGCATATTTCTCAGTCTTCTGAATTGTTTCTTAAGGAAATTCCATTACTTTTCATTTAAATTTTTGGTACTGTCATCCAGGGCTAGGGTGAGAGGAGTAAGGCACTTGCCTCAGCTGCAAAATTTAAGGAGCTGCCAAAAACCTCGGTAATTAAGAGAATATTTCAGGACAATATTTTAAAAAATTAAAATTTATGCAAAAAATTATGATGAAGAGAATATGAGCATTTTAAATACAGGATCACTATTATTGATTTTTTTCTCTTGAGTCTGTATGGCCTGGTATCGCATTGTCAACATCTAAATAACATAAGTATGTTTAAAATACATATAGTGAAAGACATAGAGGCAAACATATTCATATAAGATATATTCTATATTCCAATTTTATCTTAGGAAGACACCCAAAAAAGATGACAAGGTAAAAGCAAGGTGACTTGGGTTGAATTCACTTTTCCCCATGTGAGAACTCAGATTGTATTGACAGTGGGAAGACCAGATCAGCAACATTGGGTTACAAGGAGAGCCCAGGTAAGCATTGTTTAAACATGAAATCTGCATAAAAAAGGCAAGCTGCTATAATCGCAGTAGCAAAGGGAATTAGATTCTTTGGCCTTTACCACATGATAGTAAATGACAGCATAATAAATAAAGCAAAAATGATTTCTGACTTATACTTTTCACATCATATCCCGGAGGCACTTTGCTATTGTTACAAGTATATTAAATGTAGGTCTGATTATTTCTCAGAAGGAGCTGACAAGAGACATAGTCTGGTACATGGAGCTTCTGGCCTATGTTTGGTGGTTAATATTTACTGGCTTCATACTTCTCCTGAAGCTAAGGGGAGATCAATGATAGAGCTAGGAGAGACCAAAAGTGGAATGCCTTTTCACACATGTAATGCACATTAACTTTCTTCAGTTGCTTAAAGATGTTGTTGAGTGTTTGCCTAACATGTGAAGTTGGTTATTAGCTATTCTCTTATCCTGGAAAAGTGCAAGTATCACTCCAGTGGCCAATGGAGAGGGCTTAGATATGGATTCTATGACTAGGAGAAAATGGATAAGATGGACATAGATGAAACATGGGGATCTATGTTACTGAAAAAAAATTTTATTGACTTGTTTTTTGGTGTATATAGTTCTATATATTTTAACACATGTATACATTCATATAACCATCACCACAATCATATGAAAACTGCTTTATAAACCCTCAAACTCCCACATATGACTTCTTTATAGTCACATTCTCTAAAACTTTTGTCTTTTCTTTGCAGAATGCTCTGTAAATATTGATTATTTTAGCTGTCATGTTTAGGTATTTAATTTATTTTGAGTTAATTTTTGGAGATAGTATAAAGTAAACATCCAATTTCATTCTTTACATCTGGATATCTGTTTTCCTGGCACTATTTGTTGAAAAGATTGTCTTTTCCCCATTAAATGGACTTGGCACCCTTGTTAAACATAACTAAACCATGTATGTGGGAGTTATTTTTCTGGGCTCTTTGTTCTGTTCTATTGGTCTATATATCTGTCTTTACTCCAGTACCACACTGTTAGGATTTTTGTAACTTTGTAGTAGGCTTTGAAATCAGGAAGTGTGAGACTTCCAATTTTGTTCTTCCTTTTAAAGACTGCTTTGACTGTCATTCAAGCTTTCTTGAGATTCCATATGAATTTTAAAACGCAAATTTCTGTTTTTGCATAAAACATCATTGGGATTTTGACAGAGATTGTATTAAATTTATAAGTTGCTTTGAATAGTATAGACATCTTAAAATATGACTTCCATAATATAGGTTGTCTTTTCACTTATTTATACTTTCTTTTATTTTTCATCAACGTTTTATATTTTTAGTGTATATGTTTTTTGCCTTGTTAAATAAAAAAATATTTAATGATACTTGCTAAAGCCTGGTAAAAAACACTTCATTCAGGACCATCACAATAAGTATCGGGACCAGTGCAATGAGATTTGTAGTCGGGGAGAGGGACTGTGTTTCTAGAAATTTTTCCACTTCATCTAGGTTTTCCAGTTTGTTGGTATACAATTATTTATAGTACACTTATAATTCTTTTTATTTCTGTAAAATTGAATTAATGTCTCCTTTTCTGTTTCTTATTTTAGTTATTTGATACTTCTCTCTTACTTTTAGCCAATATAGCTAAATCTTTGTCAATTTTGTTGATCTTTTCAAAGAACAAACTCTTGGTTTTGTTGATTATCTCTATTGTTTTTCTGTCCCCTATTTTATTTATCTCTGCTCTAATCTTTATTATTTACTTGGTAATGTAGGCTTTGGGTTTAATGAGATTGTTGATTTGAGATCTTCTTTTTTAGTGTAAGCATTTATAGCTATAACTTCCCTCTTATTATTGCTTTTGCCCTAGCTCATCAATTTTGATATGTTGTGTTTTCATTTTTATTTATTTCAAGATATTTTCTAATTTCACTTGTGATTTATTCTTTGACTCATTGCTTGTTTAAGAGTATGTTGTTTAATTTCCACAGATTTGTGAATTTTTCAGTTTTCCTTCTGCTGTTGATTTGTAGTGTCATCGTATTGTATTGGAAAAGATAGTTTGTTTGATTTCAATCTTTTATAATTTATTAAGACATATTTATGCTCTAGCCCATGGTGTATCCTGAAGAATTCCCCATGTGCACCTGAGAAAAATGTGTATTTTGCTGTGTGGGGTGGAGTGCTCTGTATATTTTAGGTCTAGTTGGTGCATAGTGTTATTCAAGTTAAGGGAAGTTTAAAATTTTCCTATGAAGGGTTAACTTGAGCCTTTAAAACAAACTGATAATAGAGTAACAGAAAAAAGCATACAAATATATTAATGTGCATTTGGGCATGGAAGTCATACAAAATAGGAAAACCTCAAAGAAATGACCAGATGGTTGATGCTTTTAAACCTTCTTGAGGTTACGGAAAGAATGGGGGCTTGGAGGAAGATGGCAAAACAGGTTATGGTGCCAAGCCAGGTTATGGGAGGGAGAAAAGAGGACGAAAGGCATGGGGCAAAGGTAATCTTATTAAGGAGATGAAACGTCACAGGGATCAGCACTCAGAAAGAATGAATGGTAGCCTTGGTATTTGCTTATCAGTTAGCAAATACCTTTAAAGGTTTAAAACTCTCAGTTAATCTTTTCTAGATCTGGATAAGGGGGGAGTGTCTCAGAGAAAGCTTATTTGCATCTGTTATTTACTTCATTTTATTTCCTCTACAGATGTAACCTTTCCCCTCAGTAGACAGCTTTGCAGGCTGTTCTTGTGTTTGCAGTCCCTGTGTATAGCCTTCTCAAAATACAAACGGCATATTTTGAGGTAAAATATTTTCAGCGCCTTTAAATGTTTGTATTTCCTTACTGATTTTCTATCTGACTGGTGTATTTATTATTGAAAGTAGGGTAGCAAAGTCTCCTACTGTTATTGTAGATCTATTTCTTCCTTTAAGCTGCCAATATTTCATTCATATATTTTGGAGTTCTGATGTTTGGTGCATACATGTTTATAATAGTTATGTATTTTGGTGAAATCACTCTTTATCATTATATGATGTCCTTCATTGTCTCTTGTAACAGTGTTTGACTAAAAGTCAATATTGTTCTGATCCCAGTATAGCCACTCCTGATCTTTCTTGGTTACTATTTGTATGGAATGTCTTTTTCATCTTTTTACTTTTAACCTGTACATGTCTTTAGATCTAAAGTGAGTCTCCTATAGGGAGTTGATAGTTGAGTCCTGTTTTTTTTTTTTTTATTTACTCCATTCTGTTAATTTATGTCTTTTGATTGAGGATTTTAATCCATTTACATTTAAAGTAATTACTCACATGAAAGGACTTACATTTGCCACTTTAGTAATTGTTTTCCGCATGTCTAATAGCTTTTTTCCCCCTCATTTCCTGCCTTCCTTAGTGTTTTTTGTAATGACTCATTTTCATTCCCTTCTCATTTTCTTTTGTGTATATTGTTTTTAAATTTTTTTTTATTTTATTTATTTATTTATTTTTGAAATGGAGTCTCACTCTGTAGCACAGGCTGGAGTGCAGTGGTGTGATCTCAGCTCGCAACCTCTGCTGCCTGGATTCAAGCGATTCTCCTGCCTCAGTCTCCTGAGTAGCTGGGATTACATGCACCTGCCACCATGCCCGGCTAATTTTTATATTTTTAGTAGAGACAGGGTTTCAACATCTTGGCTAGGCTGGTCTTGAACTCCTCACCTCATAATCCACCCGTCTCAGCCTCCCAAAGTGCTGGGATTACAGGCATAAGCCATCATACCCTGCCTCTTTTGTGTATATTCTATAGATATTTTATGTGTGGTTACCATGAAGACTACTTGTAACATTCTAAAGTTATAACAATGTATTTTAAATTAAAACCAACTTAACTTCAATTGTATATAAAATCTCTATTCTCTTATAGTTCAGTTCATCAACTTTATCTTATCAATGTCATCAATTACATCTTTATGTATTATGTACCCATTATCATTTACAATTATTTTTATGAATTTGTTTCTAAATCCTATAGAAAATAAAAAGTGAAATTACAGCCAAAATTAAAATCATACTGTTTCTTATATGTATTTACTTCATGTATTTACTTTTACCGGAGAATTTTATATTTTCAGATGGCTTTGATTTACTGTCTAGCATCCTTTCATTTCAATTTGAAGGATTCCCTTTGGCATTTCTTGTAGGGCAGGTCTAGTGGTAATGAATGACCTCAGCTTTTTGTTTATCTTAACATGTCTTGGTTTTTCCCTCACTTTTGGAGGACAGCTTTGCCAAATATAGAATTTTTAGTTGATGATTCCCCCCCCCGGCACTTTAAATATATTGCACCACTACCTTCTGGCTTGCAAGGTTACTCTTGAGAAATCCACCAATAATTTTATTGAGGGCCTCTTATATGTGATCAATCACTTTTCTTTTGCTGCTTTCAAGACTGTCTCTTTCTCTTTAGTATCTAAAGTTTGATTATAATGTATCTGAGTGTGGGTCTTTTTGGGTTTATCCTACTTGGAATTTGCAGAGATTCTTTGTAACTACATGTCTTTTCTCAAATTTGGGAAGTTTCTAGCCATCGCTTCTCCAAATGATTTCTGCTTTTCTCTCTCTCTTTTCTCCTTCTGAACTTTCATACTCGTCCTCTTGATGGTGTCCCATAAGTCCTTTTGGCTCTGTTCCCTTTCTTCATTCTTTTTTCTTTCTGTTTCTCAGACTCAGCAATTTCAAGTGATTTGTCTTCAAGCTTGGTGATTCTTTATTATGCCTGGTCAGGTCTGCTTTTGAACTTCTCTAGTGAATTTTCAATTTAGTTATTTTAGTCAGCTTCTAGTTTTTATTTTTTTTGTTTTAAAATTTTGCTGATAGGTGTGTAGTTTAATCCTGTGGTCTGTCATGTTGGGTAACCTGCTACATTGTCATCAAATTTGTTTAGTAGAAAACGCTTATATCAATGAAGAAGAGGTTAGGGTGCATTTTAACGTCATGGAGAGCAGAATTGATAAACTGATATTGGCCATTAAATGTCTCAGAGGTTTATCAGTATAAAGATCACTTTCTTTCAAAATGCTCTATATTTTAAAAAATCAGCTTTCAAAATATTCTTATACAATGGAGAAAATATTGTGCCCTGAATTTCAAAAGACAGGTGCAAGGTTTTGTTACAGGTTAGAGAACAAGACAGGGTTAGATTTCAGGCAGGTAGTGTCTTCATCATCAGAATGTAACATTCTTCCCTTATGCAGGATACATAAATCATAATATATCTGTGAAAAACCTCACAGTTGTGTGATTGTCTATCAATGGGCTGTCTCTAAATCCTGAACAAAGTGGCAGCCAGAGTAACAATGCATTAGGTTTAGTTTCTGTTTCCCAAGACACAGACTCTTTGCATGGCAAAGAGAAAATATATTAAGGCAGTGTGCAAGCATGAGGCATCATTGACCTTACACATAACTTAGCTTATTCTTTGCATTGTCCTTAGTAAGGAGTTCACTTTTTGATTATTTGTTTGTTTGTTTGTTTGTTTTTGAGATGAAGTCTGGCTCTGTTGCCCAGGCTGGAGTGCAGTGGCATGATCTTGGCTCACTGCAACCTCCGCCTCCTGGGCTCAAGCAATCCTCTCACCTCAGCCTCCCAGGTAGCTGGGGCTACAGCCTCATGCCACCATGCACGACTAATTTTTGTAATTTTTTGTAGAGATAGGGTTTTGCCATGTTGCCCAGACTGGTCTTGAATTCCTGAGCTCAAGTGACACACCTGCCTTGGCCTTCTAAAGTGCTGGGATTACAAGTTTAAGCCACTGTGCCTGGCTAATTAGCTTTTTTAAAGTGCTAAAGATTTTTTAAAAACTAAACAAATTTTAGAGGATTTATAGAGATGCATTTTCAGGAAGCTGGATTATTTAGTTATGTTTGATGTGTCATTTATATGACCCTAAACAAATTAAAAGAGAAAAAACTTCAGTCAATTCACTAGTGTACACAAAGACAGGTGATATTTTTGATAAATTTTCCACCATCAAATTAATGAAATAACTAATTGCTTTGATTTCTGTTACACAAAGCCCCAAAGCTGTCAATGCTAGAAAGTAGCACAATTAAATTCATTTGCTTTTTACAGAAAATGAAGGGCCTTAAAATGTTTGGAATATTGAAAGCAGGTATTGGATACTGGGTTGGTCCATTCTCATGCTGCTATAAAGAAATAGCTGAGGCTGGGTAATTTATAATGAAAAGAGGTTTAATTGGCTCACAGTTCTGCATGCTGTACAGGAAGCATGATGCTGGCATCTACTTGGCTTCTGGGGAGCCCTCAGGAAACTTACAATCATGGTGCAAGGTGGATGGGGAGCAGACATGTCACATGACTAGAACAAGTGCAAGAGAGAGATGTGGGAGGTGCCACACACTTTTAAATGATGAGAACTCACTGTTTTGAGGAAAGCACCAAGGGGATGGAGCTAAACCATTCATGAGGAATCCGTCCCCAATGTCCCCATGTATCCATCCCCAATCACCTCTCACCAGGCCTCATCTCCAGCATTGGGGATTACAATTCAACATGAGAGTTGGTGGGGACACAGAAACAAACCATATTAGATATCTTCTTAAGCTTGCTGGGAAACACATGCAAATTACTTTATTTACACATATATAGTACAATGGAAGAAGACAGAGAATCTCTGGCTTAGTCTGGAGAGTTAATCTAATTTTTTTTTTTTTTTTTTTTGAGACGGAGTCTTGCTCTGTCGCCAGGCTGGAGTGAAGTGGCACAATCTCGGCTCACTGCAACCTCCGCTTCCTGGGTTCAAATAATTCTCCTGCCTCAGCCTCCCAAGTAGCTGGGACTACAGGTGCGCACCACCACACCTAGCTAATTTTTGTATTTTTAGTAGAGACGGGGTTTCACCATGTTGGCCAGGATGGTCTGGATCTCTTGACTTCGTGATCTGCCTGCCTTGGCCTCCCAAAGCGCTGGGATTACAGGCGTGAGCCACCACGCCTGGCCTAAATTTCTTATTTGTTAATTGAGCATAGATATTTCATATAAAATTTTCTTTGAATGCACATAATTTGTTATTGATTTATTTACTCAAAAATATTTTTCAAGTGCTTGAGATGCACCAGGCCTGTAAGGCACTGATTCTGAAAGAAGGTATAAATGGAGACTGCACCCTTAGAAAATTTGCTTTTGGGGGGATATAGGCCTTAGAGCTGTGATGACTGCAAACACAAAGTGAAGAGTTGCAAGAAGCTCAAAGACAAAGGTTAGGAAGCTCAGAAAGAGGAGTATTGTTTTTGCTGGGCAGAAGGGTGGCTTTGTGGGAATGGTGCTGTTTAACTTGTCTCAAAGACTGGGTAGGATTCAGATATTTAGGGATGGAGAACAGCACTCCAGGCAGAATGCACAGAGCGAGTGCTGCCAAGGTGCCATGGTGCAGGCTTTGAAAGGGAGCCCTTGGTTTGAGGTGGGACACAGGATAAAATGATGTGAGGTTTGGAATAAGGCTAGAAAAGAAAGAAAACGTTTGAATTTATTGAGTGCCTACTTTGCAGCATGTATTGAGAGTTGCTTGTGAGAATGTCATAGTTTTCAACCCCTAAAACTACTGTCCCCAAATAAGTTTATTTCTCCCTTTTGTTATTTCCTTTTTGTAAAGTGTTATTGTTGCTTTTCTGCAGTTGGGGAAACTGAGGTGTAGAGAAGTTAAAGGACTTGCTGGAGATTGCCTCTTCCCAAGTGGCAGGACTAGCATTTAAAGCTAGTTTTGACTGACGCTTTTTTTTTTTTTTTGAGACAGAGTCTCGCTCGTCGCCCAGGCTGGAGTGCAGTGGCACGATCTCGACTCACTGCAACCTCCGCCTCCCGGGTTCACGCCATTCTCCTGCCTCAGCCTCCCGAGTAGCTGGGACTACAGGCACCGGCCACCACGCCTGGCTAATTTTTTGTATTTTTAGTAGAGACGGGGTTTTACCATGTTAGCCAGGATGGTCTCGATCTCCTGACCTCAGCCTCCCAAAGGCTGGGATTACAGGCGTGAGCCACCGACTCTTAAGTACAAGCTCTTTCTGGTCTACTGCACTGCCTTGAATGAAATCCCAATGAAATGGAAGGTGAGAAGCCTCTGAACCTCTGAGGGTTTTTTTTTTTTTAATTTTTTTATTTTTTGAGACGAAGTCTTGCTCTGTTGCCCAGGCTGGAGTGCAATGGCGCAATCTCGGCTCACTGCAACCTCCACCTTCCAGGTTCAAGCGATTGTTTCACCTCTGCCTCCTGAGTGGCTGTGACTACAGGCACATGCCATCATGCCTGGCTAATTTTTGTATTTTAGTCGAGACGGGGTTTCACCATGTTGGCCAGGCTGGTCTCAAACTCCTGACCTCAGGTGATTCGCCTGCCTCGGCCTCCCAAAGTGCTGGGATTACAGGCGTGAGCCACCGCGCCTGGCCCCTCTGAGGTTTTGAGCAGTTGAGAGGCAGTGTTAGGGGTCCTTGTTTATAAAGCTGGTGGAGCCTGAAGGCTGGGCTGGAGGAAACCTGGTTTTTCAGTTTTATCCT
Organism: Homo sapiens; assembly: GCF_000001405.40. Lineage (NCBI taxonomy): Eukaryota > Metazoa > Chordata > Mammalia > Primates > Hominidae > Homo > Homo sapiens. The sequence continues at coordinate 8,164,009 of NC_000006.12, forward strand.
CACTGAAGAAACGTACTAATTTGTGTTTGAAGGAAACTTAACTTAGTAATACACCTTTTTCTAGATGCTACTAGGCTACAGTGATCCCTGGGCAGCTGAGTACAGGATTACACTTACAAAATTGTAAAATTTTATTGAGTGCGGTATTGAGAGGTGACAGCGTGCTGGCAGTCCTCACAGCCGTCGCTCGCTCTCGGTGCCTCTTCTGCCTGGGCTCCCACTTTGGCGGCACTTGAGGAGCCCTTCAGCCCACCGCTGCATCCTGGGAGCCCCTTTCTGGGCTGGCCAAGACCGGAGCCGGCTCCCTCAGCTTGCAGGGAGGTGTGGAGGGAGAGGCGCGAGCGGGAACCGGGACTGCGCACGGCGCTTGCGGGCCAGCTGGAGTTCCGGGTGGGCGTGGGCTTGGCGGGTCCCGCACTCGGAGCAGCCGGCCCTGCCGGCCCCGGGCAATGAGGGGCTTAGCACCCGGGCCAGTGGCTGTGGAGGGTGTACTGGGTCCCCCAGCAGTGCCAGCCCGCCGGCGCTGCACTCAATTTCTCACTCGGCCTTAGCTGCCTTCCCGCGGGGCAGAGCCCAGGACCTGCAGCCCGCCATGCCTGAGCCTCCCACACCCTCCATGGGCTCCTGTGCGGCTTGAGCCTCCCCGACTAGTGCCACCCCCTGCTCCACGGCACCCAGTCCCATCGACCACCCAAGGGCTGAGGAGTGCGGGTGCACGGCGCGGGACTGGCAGGCAGCTCCACCTGCAGCCCCGGTGCCAGATCCACTGGGTGAAGCCAGCTGGGTTCCTGAATCTGGTGGGGCCTTGGAGAACCTTTATGTCTAGCTCAGGGATTGTAAATACACCAATCGGCACTCTGTATCCAGCTCAATCGGCACTCTGTATCCAGCTCAAGGTTTGTAAACACACCAATCAGCACCCTGTGTCTAGCTTAGGGTTTGTGAATGCACCAATGGACAGTCTGTATCTAGCTACTCTGGTGGGGCCTTGGAGAACCTTTGTGTCCATACTCTGTATCTAACTAATCTGGTGGGGATGTGGAGAACCTTTGTGTCTAGCTCAGGGATTGTAAACGCACCAATCAGCGCCCTGTCAAAACAGACCACTCGGCTCTACCAATCAGCAGGACGTGGGTGGGGCCAGATAAGAGAATAAAAGCAGGCTGCCGAGCCGGCACTGGCAAGCCGCTGGGATCTACTTCTGCACTGTGGCAGCTTTGTTCTTTCACTTTTGGGTCCCCACTGCTTTTATGAGCTGTCATACTCACCGTGAAGGTCTGCAGCTTTACTCTTGAAGCCAGCGAGATCACAGCCCCCTGGGAGGAACAAACAACTGTAGACGCGCCGCCTTAAGAACCATGACACGGCCGGGCGCGGTGGCTCACGCCTGTAATCCCAGCACTTTGGGAGGCCGAGGCGGGTGGATCATGAGGTCAGGAGATCGAGACCATCCTGGCTAACAAGGTGAAACCCCGTCTCTACTAAAAATACAAAAAATTAGCCGGGCGCGGTGGCGGGCGCCTGCAGTCCCAGCTACTCGGGAGGCTGAGGCAGGAGAATGGCGTGAACCCAGGAGGCGGAGCTTGCAGTGAGCCGAGATTGCGCCACTGCAGTCCGCAGTCCGGCCTGGGCGACAGAGCGAGACTCCGTCTCAAAAAAAAAAAAAAAAAAAAAAAAAAAAAACCGTAACACGCACAGCGAAGGTCTGAAGGTCTGCAGCTTTAGTCCTGAGCCAGCCAGACTATGAACTCACCAGAAGGAAGAAACTGCGAACATATCCGAACATCAGAGGGACCAAACCCCAGACGCGCCACCTTAAGAGCTGTAACACTCACTGCGAGGGGCTGTGGTTTCATTCTTGAAGTCAGCCAAGACCAAGAACCCACCAATTCCGGACACAGTATCTTATCAATTACTGTGCCCAGCGCACTAACGGACGTTAAGTAACGAATAATCACCAACCTGAAGCTTGTTGCTATCATAATTTCACTGAAGGGAAAAATTGGGGCTGAAAGAAGTTAAGTCACCTGTTCAAGGGTAGAGCTAATCAGCGGCATGTTCAAATATAGGGTTGTTTCCGTAATTTTGTAGTAGTCTATTTGCCCAGAAAGGCAAAGGAATATTAATTTTAGAAAAGGCTGCACCGAATTCTGCCACCTGTGCAGGTAGCCTCCCTCTGGACTCCAGATGCCACTGTGATTACCCCATTCTGACCCACTCTTGGAGCTTCCTGTCACCAGCCATCCATTCTCTTCTCTGTCTTGGTTCACTCCTGAGGGCTTCCTGTGTTATCCTAATGTGCACCCTAATGTACACAAATCACTTTCACAGACAGTGTCATGAGTATGAGGTGAGCAATTCATCAATGTCAACATATCTTTGATGAACAGTGGTTTGTCTTTGCAAGGCCTGAAAGAGTCCAGTGGATTTCTATTTGCTGTGGCTTGCTGGGGATTGAAGGGATTATGGTTGATGAGAGGTTTGAAATTCAACCAGTTTATTATTAGTGGGGGCACATGAAGTTTGAAAATCTTGGTTGTCTTGATCTGTCTTTTTTCCTTTTCTTCCTTTAATCTTTCCCTCCTTACCCCTTCCCTCCCCTCCCCTACCCTTCCCTTCCCTTTAAATGTAAGGGGAAAAGGGCACACTGGTCAGAAATGCAATGAGCTAGTTGTTGGTTTTTGTCACAATTATTCATATGTCCACTTCTATTTTTTCCCACTTGATAGTTAAACCAAACATCTAGTTTTTACTGCCTTCTCAAAGTACATAATTCATTTAGGTTCAGTGTACTTATTGAGTGACTTATGTGCAAAGCATTGTACTAGGTGTTCTAGTACTAGTGTAAAGAGTAATTCACATTAAAATGGAAAGATGATGACTGAGTGAACAAAATTTGGGATGTCTTGCCTCTTGTGTTTTTCACGTAGATGTTGCTTACTTCAAATGACATGAACAAAGGTCCTCATGTAAAGCTGGAGGAAAAACAAAGTCAATTGCTTTAAGCTATGGTTGGTAGTTGGTAATTCGTAACACTAATTACAGCTGATACGAAGACTACAATAGATTTGTTATAAGTACCTATAATTCCCCTTTATCAGGCTTGAATTATATTCCATGCAGCTTGGATAGCTTACAGTTGCTAAAGGCTCATGTATAATATACCTACATCTCTAGACATAACACTCCTTTTTGTCAATCTGGGAAAGAATATAGTGAGGATTGACAATTATATTGTTATGAAATGAGCCATCTTTTGTCATCCTTGCCAAGTTCCCTTTTTCGGCTGGCCCTAGTGGCTAGGGAAAAGTCTGAAATAGTGATTTTTCAGTCCATCCTTTGAGTTTGAAGAAGCATTGCTATTATTATAAATTTATCCTAGGAAAATTAAACAAAATAATAGCTTCATAGAAAATTAAGCTGCATAAAATTTCCTTGTCAGATGAGAACAGGCTGAGGATTGTCTTTATTTTGTTTTGATGACTGCGTGTGAGTGTGTGGGGTTCTTTTTCCTTTCCTGGAGCTGTATCAGATTGTGGGTCCTCAGATATTTAGGCTTCTCATAAAAGGCAAGACTTATAAAAAATCTTGGTGAACTTTAGACTAGAATGAATTTCATGTTTTGGGTAACCTTGGGATTTTGGTGGAGACTGGTTTGGGATAAGACTGATTCTGGAGTTGTTGTAAACACCTAGAATTTTTGTCTTTTTTTGATCAGTGACTATATTTCTTGTTTCTTGTTGCTGCTGCAGCAAATTACCAGCAACTGGGTAGCTTAACACAGCAGAAGTTTATTCTATCACAGGTCTGGAGGCTAGAAGTCTGAAATCAAGAAGTCTGCATGCCCGTACTCCCTCCACAGGCTCTAGGGGAGGATCCTTCCTTGCTTCTTCCAGCGTCTGGTGGCTCCAGGTATCCCTTGACTTGTGTGCACACCACACCAGTCTCTGCCTCTGTGATCACATTGCTTCCTTCTCTGCAGCCTATCTCATATCTCCCTCTGTCTTTCTCTTATAAGGACATGTGTCATTGGATTTAGGTCTCACCCATATAATCAAGGATGATCTAGTCATCTTGAGACCCTTATCTTAATCACATCCACAGAGAACCTTTTTCCACATGAGGTCCCATTCATAGGTTCCAGGGATTAGAATATGGACATGTCATTTTGGGAGACTCTATTCAACCTCCTATAGCGGTTTTCAAACTTGTTTTGAATCAAAGGAAGAAATACATTTTATAGCATAAACTAGCCCATTGTACACAGGGAAATAAATAATTTCACAGAACAGTGCTTTCTCTTACCGTGGGAGATGTGTTCTGTTCATTTTCATTCCATTCTATATTATTGCATTCGATTCCAACAAAATCTTGTTTAATAACCACGTAGACAGATCTGATGATCCATCAATGATGTTGCCACCCACAGTTCTGGATCTTAGATGATATTGGGTTGTATGAGAACGTCTGGACTCTGTGCACTGGGGAGCACTGCTTTGACTTGGATTCCTTAGGACCGGCTGCACTGAATTGGCTTTGAAGGAGTGGGTGGGAGGTTGAAAGGTGTTATCAGAATGTTGCATTATTTGATGACATCTTAAATACATTAAACGCAAATCACCAAAATTTACTGACATATTTTCACGCATCAGGCATTGTGTTAGATATGAGAACCAAAAAAAAAAAAAAGATGAGAACCACAAAAATGAATTACCCAAACCCACTCCTCAACATTTCCTAAATTTTCTTTTATGTTGTACCATACAAATGATTTTAGATATACATTCTTAATCACCAATTTATCTGCCAAGGCAAATAGCTGTAAATGTCCACTTATTAACTTTTCACTTAAGTACTCGAAATACAGTGTCCCACCGAAGCACTTAAATTCAGACTTTATAAATTGTTTTAAGAGGATTTGGAGGCAATTAGGAGAAAGCCATTTCAGAGAAGATGCTAATCTGAATTTCTCATAATTGTGTGGACATTTTAAACACTTTGCAAGTGAGACTATAAATGTAAAAGCAGCGACCAAAAAGTTCTGCTTCATTTCAAGCAGGTGACGTAAGAGAACTAAAATCCATGATTAAGAAAAATGAAATTGTATAAATTATAGCAGAAATGCCTGTCATCGCCTACTAAAATGCCTCCAGGGGGTTAGATTAGAAAAAGAAAATTACTTATCTGTAATTCTTATTCTCTTTAGGTAGCAATTATAATAGATATACACTCTTGGGTGTAAGTCATTGGTGTGAGAACCAGGAGTAGACTCGAAGTCAGCTAAAGAATTATAACCCTCAAGGAAGGCGTACCCTGGGACGTCAAGGGCAAAATGTATATGGAATGTCATTGCCCCCGAATATCATTCCTATCTGACCATTGAAAAGCGCAGGTGAATTTGGTCCCTCGGAAGAAAAGAGTGGCTGAGTGGATCTATTATTATTATCATCGTATATTAAATGTAAAAAGGTCTAGCCGCAGGCAACATTTGTGAGTTGGGTCTACTCATTTTCTCTGTGCCTTTCTGCCTACTTTAGGAATCCAATACCCACTTACTCGCCATCCCCCTCACTCTGCTCTTAGGAAATACCTCATTCAATTTATTTACACCGAAGCCAAGGCATTCACAGTAGCAAGAGCCTTGGAGAGGGAATAAGAAGCCACAGGCCTGCCTGTGGCTGGCTTGGCCACCCATTTATTCTGAGATACCAGGTGAGCCATGTTAGCTCTTCGAGTGAGCTTCCGTGTCCTCATTCATATAATGGTGGGGTAGAACGAGGGAGCGCATTTCTTTTGTTTTTTGGAGACGGAGTCTTGCTCCATCTCCCAGGTTGGAGTGCAGTGGCGCGATCTCAGCTCACTGCAACCTCCGCCTCCTGGGTTCACGCCATTCTCCTGCCTCAGCCTCTCGAGTAGCTGGGACTACAGGCGCCTGCCACCACACCTGGCTAATTTTTTTGTATTTTCAGTAGAGACGGGGTTTCACCGTGTTAGCCAGGATGGTCTCGATCTCCTGACCTCGTGATCCGCCCGCCTTGGCCTCCCAGAGTGCTGGGATTACAGGCGTGAGCCACCGCGCCCAGCAGAGGGGGCTCAATTTCTAGGAACACTTTCATCTCCATGATTCTAGGTAAGGAAGACAGGACAATTAAAAATAGGCTAATTTTAGGGTAAACTTTTAGGCTAACGATGATACCCTTGAATGTGGCCTTTAAACTTGGGAAGAATTGACATTGAAGCCATAGAAATGAAGACTAGCTTGAGGCATCCATTGGGACCCAGGCAGGTATTTGGTGGGATCATGTTTGTTTGATCTAAACCTTTGTGGCAGCTACACAAAAACCCAAGACTGGCCCTAAATGTGCCTGTGTGTAACTTGAGTTGAGACACAATTAGCCTAAGAGCCCCTGGGTAAGGGAGCAGTTTCTGAAGCTGCCACTGGGGCAACATTAGTGCGGAGAAGCAATCACTCCTGAAGGGTTACTCCAATGTCTGAAAGAGCTAGGGACATTCCCAGCAATGGCTGCGTCATTGCTAAGGAGCAACTTACACATGGGAGTGTTTCTCTTTTTATTTCTTTTTAATGTGCGCAGGGACTAGCTGCTTGTGCCTCTTTGAACATAGGGGCAGAAAAAGGAATTTCATTCTTTTCTCTCTTTCTCACACCAATCTACACATTCCTTCTCCTCTGAGGCGATTCCAAGCCAAATGGAAGGGAGAAGTACTGGGAGGCCTTGCCCAGGTTTTATATGGTTTTAAAGGGAATGAAAGGTTTTTCTTTGGGTGGGAATGACCAGAGGTTTGCAGGGGTATGTGCTCCTGTGACCCATCACCTGCTTTGGCTTATAGTCCTAACTAGAGGCACCACTAACCAATTCTCCTATCTGGACCCCTGCTAGGGACCCCCTCAGCCAACATAGAGGTACTTCATATGCATGTTTGAGATTTTTTGTAGTGAGGCATGAGTGCGTATGGCTCAGCTGGGTCACCCCTGAGCTCACATCCTAAGAATTCAACATTGCTCTGTGACCTAAGGCCTGTGGACCTGGGCACGGAGGCCAGAGGAGTGCACTTACAGCCCAGGGAAGTTTTGTCCTTTTCCTCCGTTTATCCTGCAATTTAAAGGCCAAACACTGATAAGAGTTAAAGATACAAAAGAAAACAAGACACTGTGCTGTCTTCAAGAATTTTATTGTTTGGGCTGGGCGTGGTGGCTCACGCCTGTAATCCCAGCACTTTGGGAGGCTGAGGTGGGTGCATCATGAGGTCAGGAGATCGAGACCATCCTGGCTAACATGGTGAAACCCCGTCTCTGCTAAAAATACAAAAAATTAGCCGGGCATGGTGGTGGGCGCCTGTAGTCCCAGCTACTCGGGAGGCTGAGGCAGGAGAATGGCGTGAACCCGGGAGGCAGAGCTTGCAGTGAGCCAAGATCGCACCACTGCACTCCAGCCTGGGTGACAAAGTGAGACTCCATCTCACAAAAAAAAAAAAAAAAAAAAAGAATTTTATTGTCTGATGGCGTGAGGACATTTCCAAATCAGAACTCTGCAAGATTTGGGGTTGACCCAAACATAAGGTCATGCCTGGCGCCACACTTGCTTTTTCACTGTTTCCAATGTCCCTATTGTGACAACACACATAATATGGTCTTGTCCAGAAAGTGGAATCATATGCAATTTTGGAAAACTCTAAACAATTATTTAATTGTTAATAGATTGTTCAGGGGAGTCAGAGCCATCCCCAGGACACAACTCTTTGGAGCAACAACCCTTGACCCTCGTGCCCTGACACTGAAGCCACAGGAGGCAGCAGGAGATGGGACATTGAGTGGGATCCAGAACATTTGCCTGTTCCAGTTGCCCTTTTTCTATCAATATCTATCAATATTTTCTCACTTCAAATGACCTGGGATGTATGCATTTCTGGAGCATAGTTCCCTGGAAAATACACTCATGAGTTCCTTAACTATAGGAAAACCTTTTGAGAAATGCATCGGTAGGCAGTTTTGTTGTGTGAACATCATTGAGTGTGCTTGCACAACCCTAGCTGGAACAGCCTCCTAGGCTAAATGGTACAGCCTGTTGCTCCTAGGCTACAAACTTGTACATCAGATTACTGTACCGAATACTGTAGGCAATTATAACACAATGGTATTTATGTCAAAACATATCCAAACATAACAAAGATACAGTAAAAATACAGTTTAAAAGATAAACATGGTATACCCGTAGAGGGCACTTACCATGAAATGAACTTGCAGGGCTGAATTGCTGTGGGTGAAACTGTGAGTGATTGGTGAGTGAAGTGAAGGCCTAGGACATGACTTCACACTACTGTAGACTTTACAAACACTGTACAGTTAGGCTACATGAAATAATGAATTCACCTTAGCTTATTGTCACCTTTTTACTTCATAAATTTTTAAATTTTTTTAATTTTTGACTCTTGAAATAACACTAAGCTTAAAACACAACCGTATTGTACAATTGTCCAAAAATATTTCCTTTCTGTATGTTCTTATTCTTTTTTCTATTTTAAAAAATTTTTAATTTTTTCCTTAATTTTTTTTTTGTTGTTGTTGTTACAAATGAAGACACAAACATATATGTCAGCCTAAGCCTACACAGGGTCAGGATCATCATTATCACTGTCTTCCATCTTCACACCTTGTCCCACTAGATGGCACTTGATCAAATATCACTTTCTCCTGGAAGCTGACCCTAGCTGCTTCAGGTCTTCAGGGGCAGTGACAGGCAGGAAGCTGTCATCTCCTATGATAACAGTGCCTTCTTCTGAGATCCCTCTGGAAGGAACTGCCTGAGGCTGTTTTACAGTTAGAGTTTTAAAAATAAGAGGCCGGGTGTGGTGGCTCACGCCTGTAATCCCAGCACCTTGGGAGGCCAAGGCGGGTCGATCACCTGAGGTCAGGAGTTCGAGACCAGCCTGACCAACAGGTGAAACCCCATCTCTACTAAAAATTCAAAAATTAGCCGGGTGTGGTGGCGTGCGCGTGTAATCCCAGCTACTCAGGAGGCTGAGGCAGGAGAATCACTTGAATCTGGGAGGCGGAGTTTGCAGTGAGCAGAGATCATGCCATTGTACCCCAGCCTGGGCAACAAGAGCAAAACTCCATCTCAAAAGTAAAAGAAGAATGAAAAGTATAGTATCGTAAATACATAAACCAGCAACATAGTTGTTTATTATCACTATCGAGTATTCTGGGCTGAACATCACTGCATGAGCTAGACTTTCATATGGCTAGCAGCACGGCAGGGTTGTTGACACCATCTTTGCCACAAACACTGGAGTCATGCCCTGTGCTTTGATGTTACCATGGTTATGACGTCACGAGGCAATAGGAATTTTTCAGCTCCATTATTTTACAGGACCTCAGTCATATATGTGGTCTGTGGTTGACCAAAACATTGTGACATGGTGGCTGAGCGCAGTGGCTCACTCCTGTAATCCCAGCACTTTGGGAGGCTGAGGCGGGTGGATCACTTGAGGTCGGGAGTTCGAGATCAGCCTGGCCAACCTGCTGAAACCCCATCTCTACCAAAAATACAAAAAAAATTAGCCGGGCATTGTGGAACACGCCTGTAATCCCAGCTACTCAGGAGGCTGAGGCAGGAGAATCCCTTGAACCTAGGAGGAGGAGGTTGCAGTGAGCTGAGATCGCACCACTGCACTCCAGCATGGGTGACAAGAGTGAGACTCCATCTCAAAAAACCAAAAACCGAAAACAAAAAACATTGCCACATGGTGCATGACTCTACCACATAAACTGAGTAAACATGGATGTCCTGTATAGGAGATGGAACTCTGCTGTAAGTGACGTGAACTCTACAGATCACTTAGAGAGGTCATGTCCTCATCTCAGCTGGAGAGCATCTGCTGTGGAGAGGACCTGGCTGCTTCCAGACCTCTCTGCCTGACCCCTGACTCTTGATGACCTGTGTCCTCAGAATGACCAGGAAGGCTTGACACTGAGCAGAATCTCTAATTCACCTGAGATTGATTTGACAATCTCATCCTTTGTGTCACTTCAATTTGCAGATCGTTCCATTATTGGCAGCTACTTTTCTTAACTTTTTCCAAGTTGCATTTGATAAATTTTTTCATTCATTCATTCATTCTCTCATTCACTCTCTCAACATATATTTATTGTATGCCTACTTCATGCCAGATACTCTTCTAAGTGTGGGGGATATAGCAGTGAACAAAAAAGACAAAAATCCCTGCCTTCATGGAGCTTACCTTCCAGTGGGGAATGATAGGCAACAAATACCAGTAGGAAAGTCAATGATGTTAGAAGGTAGAAGTCATGAGTATCACCGGAGAATAAAAAGCAGGATAAGAGAGATGAGGAATGCAGTGGGAGGTGTAACGATTCCAAATGAAGTGGCTAGGGTCAGCTTTCATGAGAAAGTGACATTTGATCAAGTGCCAGAAGAAGGGGAGCCATGTGAATGCTGGGGGAGACCTTTGTGGACAGAGGGAGTGGCTGGGGAGGTGGGAGACTGTGTGGTCAGTTTGAAGCACAGACGTGTCCTGTGTGGCTGGACAGAGGACGGCAGAGGCCCGGAGGGGTGAGCTGGTGTTCGCTCACAGATCATTGAAGGCTTTAGGGGTCATTGGGAAGGCTTGAGTTTTCCTCTGAGTAACATGAGGAGATCTGGGAAGATTTTGAGCAAAGGCGTGACATGTCTTGACTTGCGTTTTTAAAGGATTGCTTTGACTACTATTCATTTTTAACCAGAATTCACCTGAAAAACCTGTGGGAGTGAAAGGTGGTGGGCAGGGCCCTGGAGGGAGCGGCAACACTTTAGAGGCAGGTTTATGCAAAACTTGCTCAGAGAATGGGGTGCAAGAAGTCTTCATGGAAGACATATAAATTTGTCCTGAGCATCATTTTAAATAAAACTTTGTTAATTTTGAAATATAGCACACTTAAAGAAGAAGGTGCGTAAATCATAAATACGCTGCTTAATGAAATATAATAAAGCAAATACTCCAGCCTTAGAGGCGCCCGTGTGCCCCTTTCTAATCACAGCTCCCAGCCTACTCCCCAAAGGCAACCAGTTTCCAGACTCTCATGGTGGTCACTTCCTTGCTTACTTTATCTTTTACCATCTATGTGTGGATACTGATGCTCTGTATTTTTGCCTACTTTGTTGGGTGTCTGGCTTCTTTCTCTCAAGTTTATGTGAGTGACTCATCCAGGTTGTTGTTTGAGGCTGTGGTTTGTTTTCATTGCTATACATTTCATTGTGTGACTCTCCTTCAATTTTTTTCACCTGTTCTACTGTTGACAGATATTTGGATTGTCCCCTGCTATGAATATCCTTGTACAAATCTGATGTCCACATGCAGCCATGTCTGTTAAACCTATAACCCAGGACTAGAGCTGCAGGGTTGTAAAGTATATAGATATATTCATCTTTAGCAGATTACATTAGTTTTTTTGTTTGTTTGCTTGCTTGTTTTTTTGAGACAGAATCTTGCTCTGTCTCCTAGGCTGGAAGGCAGTAGCGCAATCATGGCTCACTGTAGCTTCAACCTCCTGGGCTCAAGTGATCTCACTTCAGCCTCCCAAGCAGCCGAGTAGCTGAGACTACATGTGTGGGCCACCAGGCCTGATTTTTTTTTTTTTTAGAGACAGGTTCTTGCTTTGTTGCCCAGGCTAGTTTCAAACTCCTCACCTCAAGGAATCTTCCCACTGTGGCCTCCCAAAGTGTTGGGATTGCAGGTGTGAGCCACTGCGTCAGGTCAGATTCTTATTATTAGTAGTAGACTATCTCTTCCAGAATGATTGTATCAATGTACACTCTTTCCAGATGTGTGTCGGAATTATCCTTGATATATATTCTTGTCTATACTTGACATGTTACTCTTTTTAATTTTAGCGATTCTGCAGGGTATATAGTGACACCTCAAAAAGTGGTTTTAATTTGCATTTCCTGTGTTACAAAGGAGTTACACACCTTTTCACATATTTATTGTCCATTCGCATAGCCTCTTTTGTGAAGTCTTTGGTAAGTCTACTGCTTATTTTCTATTGGCGAATCTTTTTCTTGTTGATTTGTAGGGCTTAAAAAAATTCAGGATATGAACAGGTCATGAATGACAAGTAGCCTGTCTCACTCTCTGGCTTAGCTTTTCATTCTCTTATTGATGTCTTTTGAAGACCAAATATTCTTAATTTTAATGTGGCCATATATTTATCAATCTTTTCCTTTATGGTTTGTGCCTTTATGTTTTATTTTAAAAAATCTTTCTCTTCTTTCTATATTATCTTATAAAGTCGTTCTATTTTGCCTTTCACATTTAATCTAGAATACAACTGGATTGATTTTTATGTATGATATGAGGCAGAAATGCTCCCTTCCACTCTCCCTTCCTCCTCCCTCCCTTCATTCCTTCTTTCCTCCCTTTCTTCGTTTTTCTCCTTCTTTTCTTTCCTCCCCCCCTTCCTTCTTTTCTTTCTTTTTGAATTCTTTCCTCCCTGCTCTTCAGTGTCATCTCTACCATAAATCAAGTGCCTATAGATACATGGGTGATTGTCCTTCAGATTTCATTCTAAACTAGCTCATTTGCCTTTTCCTTTGAAAGAAAAGTCTAAACACCAGAAGTCTGACAGTGGTTCTCAAATTTGGCAGAGGTTTGGAATGATGAAGATACAGAAGCCTGGGTCCCACCTCCAGGGATTCTATCTGGTTGGGCTGGGACGTGGTCTGGTCATCAGGATCTTTAAACCTCTCTGATGGGCAACTATGGCTGAGGCTCAGGGGAAAGGAAGACAGGGAGAGCACACTGTTATCATTATGGTTGCCCCATAAAAGGCAGGATTCCTGGTGAAGGCTGAATTCCAGATCATTAACAAATAACTTTTTAGTATGAATGTGTCCCAAACAGGGCATGAGACATACTTATGCTAAATAATTACACGGTGTACCTGACATTTGTATTTAACTGAGTGTTCTTTCTCTCTCTCTATAAAACTATTTTTTATATATATATTATATATATAAAAATAGTTATATGTGTGTATATATATAATATACATATATATTTATACATATATTTTTCGAGACAGAGTCTCACTCTGTTGCCCAGGCTGGAGTGTGCAATGGCGCAATCTCGGCTCACTGCAACCTCCACTTCCTGGGTTCAAGTGATTCTCCTGCCTCAGCCTCCTGAGTAGGTGGGATTACAGGTGTGCGCCATAATGCCTGGCTAATTTTTTTTTGTATTTTTAGTAGAGACAGGGTTTTGCTAGTTGGCCAGGCTGGTCTCCAATTCCTGACCTCAAGTGTCTGCCTGCCTGCTGGCATGAGCCACCATGCCTGGCCTGTGTTCTATATTTTTATTTGCTGCATCTGGCAATACTTGTTATCAAAAAATGATTCCTTACACTCTGACCTTGTTGGAACCACGGTCTTCAAATACCGTTCATCTTCCCCACTCCATCATGGTGCTGTGCAGGGCTGCTCTTGTTGGGTTGATTTCTCTTTATGTCTCCAGCTGCCTGAGTAGCTCCTGACTATTCCATGAAACAAAATACTCATAACTGGACTACCTGGTGGCATTACAAAAAAATGTCACTTGCCTTAATGGGGTTTCAGACTTAAGAAGGCAAATTTAAGAATAAACAATTGGGGCAACATTCTTTGGAGAATGAACAATGAAAAGACTGACAGAAAATGAAAAACTGTCACAGAAAAATGAAAGACTGACAGAGCAAAGATTCACAAAGTCAATGATTTATACATGGTACAATTAAAACCAACAGAGGGAATCATGAGCACCTTCCTTCTCATTTTTCTGGACTAGACTAAGTGAAGTAGTTTAATTAGTTGGGTGACTCATAGATAGGACGGTGTCACAGATGGTCAGTTTGTAGAAACAGACAACAGAACCTCCCCCTTCCTTCCCATGTCTGTAGATGTATGCATGCCTAAGTCTCTACCATCACTGGAGAGTCTGTCCTTCACTGCTCAGCCTGGCAGGTGTTGCTCTTGAGTCCCTTGGAAGGTTCTAGAAGGAAAAGACCTCTCACTCCCCAACTTGGACTGTCGCTGTTGTGTGATCATGAGGCTTAGAATCCCTCACAGCAGTAGTTTTGCTGCTGGCTTGTCATAGTATCAAGAAATTATTCCACTCCCACGTTTTTTGGGGATTCCTGACTCTTGCTAAGCGCTGAAATGCCCACTTATTCTCAACTTTGAGAGATTATGTTGTCTTGAAGGCAGAAAAGGGTACATGTATGAATAAATGGTTGAGGCTGAGTTCATTATACTGGTGGCGCTTTTTTCAGAACATTGTCCCTTTCTTATAGCATCCTATTTGATTTTAACAGTAACCCTGCCTGCTGGGTAAGTAGGGCAGGCATTACTTCCCTTCCTTTACAGATGAGAAAATAAACTCAGTACAGTTAAATAATTGCATAAAGTGATACAGCTAGTAAATGACAGGTAGAGAACACAGGTCCTTTGGCTCCTAATGTCTTGCTTTTTCTAGTATTAGTACTCCCTGACAGAGCACTACCTAAATTTGCGTGATCCTAACCACCACTTGAAGATCTTGTTCAAAATGTGTGGATTCCTAAATCCTTTCCCTGACTATTCTAATGCAGTGAGGTTAGGGTGGAACTCAAGAGTCTGTAATTGAAAGACTGACCTCAGCAAATTAGCAGAGACTATTGTATTTGAAAATTATCATTGGAATTCCTTTTATTTCTTTTTGAGACAGGATCTCACTGGGTCACCCAGGCTGGAGTGCAGTGGTGCAACCTCGGCTCACTGCAGCCTCAACCTCCCTGGCTCAAGTGATCTTCCCATCTCAGCCTCCTGAGTAGCTGGGACCACAGGTGTGCACCACCACACCAGGCTAATTTTTAAAAAATTTTTTGTAGAGACAAGGTCTCACTATGTTGCCCAGGCTGGTCTTCAACTCCTGAGCTCAAGTGATCCACCTGCCTCGGCCTCCCAAAATGCTGGGATTACAGATATGGGCCACCATGCCTGGATTCATTAGAATTCTTCATTAAAGTTCTGGGGATCCCAGCCACTTTGGGAAGCAGCACAAATAAATTTAAGTGGAAATATTTGCTACATCTTTTGCAAAAATTGTTGTTATTTATAGTTAGCTTCTCAAAATTAAGTTGCCAGGTGGAAACATAAAAGTGAGTAAATTATTGTCCATTTGTTTGGACAATAATTGTTTTGGACTTGTTTGACACCAAAGCATGTCTACTTTTGGTGTCAGTGGGGACTAGTTGAAGAAGAGGTCTCTCTCTTTTAGGTTTTGGTCAATTTAATCCATTTATCTAATGAATGTTTACTGAAAATCTATAATATACCAGGTACTGTGCTGAACACTGGAGTTAAAGAGTTGGATGAGACACAGTCCTTAGAGAGAGACTCATAGTTTACTAAGTAGACTAACACGCAAATCTATAGATTATAATACATGTGATTGACGGATTAATAGGGATGTGGATTCCATGTTCTGGGAGCACAGAAGAGGGAAGATTCTGCTCTACTGGGGTCAAGACAAACTCCACGAGACGAGGCAGGGTCTTGCCTTGAGTTTTCTTGGATGTTGATGAGCCTCCAGCCTTCACTCTGTATTGTATTGACAACTTCAGGACCACTCATCCCTTTCCTGCAGGGCCAACTCAGAAGACAAATATCATTCAAAACTGAAGTTAAATGGCTGGTGCCTCCCAGCCTGCTGGGTTTCCCACATCCATCGCTTCCTAGGGAATACCTGAAAATGAGGTCAGCACGAACCAGGTGGGCTCTGAGCTTGGGTCCAGCCAGCCCCTTTCGTAGTTTGGAGGAGAAAGGCGGTTATTATGCTAGAAGCCCACAGAGCCCACAGTGCACCTCTTCTGTGTTTCAAGAAGGCTGTTTTTGTATTTGCAGCCTGGTTTCAGGTGTGTGGATGTCAGAGAGATTGATGCCATCTTCAGTGACCTGTGATCACACATCCTTACAGCCCTCCATCTTTCTGCCTTGCTTAGCAAATTCCACGGACGATAACTCCAAATAGAGCCTTTGGAAAAGGGCACCAAGGACAAACCTGGCCTGTTTAGAATCTAACTTCGAGTCACTCTTCTCAGTTCTTTACTCCCCTCAATTAAATTGGTTATTTGTAGAGTTTCCCTGTCTTATTTAATACAGTTTTAATTTCTTTTCTCTCTATCATTACTCTTTCTACCCTCTCTTCCTCCTACTCCCCCTCTTTCAACCAAATTGCCTAAACCATTTTTCACCCTTTGCTTTGATGGCAACCAGTATAAATAAAACCAGAGCAGCAGCAAGTACCCCAGGAGAGGGGCGAGGGGTCACCGAAGCTGCCCTTGGAGGGCTTGGCTGGGCTTTCTGAAGTCAGATGGGCAGCTTGTTTCATGCCCCAAATTCCTTTCTGTTATCCTCCCTGCAGGCAATGTTTTTGTTTTTACTGTGGTTCAGCTCCCTGGAATGCAGAGCTCTTTTTAAAAGCTGACTGAGTGGAGAGGCTTGTGTCTGGGTAGCCTTTCTCTTGACCTGGAGAGAGAACTTGGGGGTGGGGAAGGAAGGGGTGGATAGAGTCCAGAGGAAGAAGTGGCTTTCTAAGACAGCAGCACTGAGTGTGTTTTATCTCTGAGATTGGTGACTCTGTTTCATCCATGAAGATGGGTTTGCTTGTTAATGTAACTTCCTGTTTTGGAGGTGTCACTCAAAAATATTAAAGCTTTTAGCATTTGAGCTCTGGAGGAAAAATGATTTTTGTGTGCCTGGGTGCCTGAAACAATCCAGGTCTACTGAATTCTGATTTTGAATGCCTGAATAAAGATGAGAAAATCAAAGCAGACAAAGAAATAAACATGTCTTGACTGCTTTTCCTGTGCCAGGACTTTTACCTACACGTCTAATTTAATTGTACAGTAGCAGCCCTCTGAGTTGCTGTTAGCGTTCTCATGTTACCGATGCCAAAGCTTGGGTCCAGGAAGCTTAGGAAGCGAGCACAGAGCTGGCGAGGGGCACAGGCGGGACTCTTCATCCGACTGTCCACTCGCCGAAGAGATAGCATTTGTGTCTTACCAACTTCAGGGAGGTGTACACATTTTGCTCTGTTACTAGCAAATGCTACATACTAGACTCTCACTACAACATTATTAGGTGTGCCTGAACAGAAATGGCACCTGCAAATAGAGCTTTATGTAGAAAACTGAAGGGCATGATAAAGGTTGGATGTGCTAAGCGCCTCTTAAAATCTTCCTGCTTCCCTCCCTCCCTTCCTTCCTTCTTCCCTGTCTCCCTCCCTCCCTCCTTTACTTTCCTCTCTTTTCTCTTTTTTCCTTCTTTCCTTTTCCTCCTTTCTTCCTTCCCTCATGTCTCCTTTCTCCCTCCCCCCTCTTTCCCTCCCTCCCCTCCCCTCTTTCCCTTCCCTTCCCTTCCCTTCTTTTCCCTTCCCTTCTCTTCCCTCCAGTTTCACTTGCTATAGAGATATGACGTACACACAGTTCAAAGACTGAGCATACATCATATCAAGGACACAGTTCCTGTCCTTGAGGAGTATCTGTCCATCTAGGGGGAGGCCATATAAGCAAATTGCTCTGATGTCCCATGGCAAGTTCTGTTGCAGAGGTTTACATTCAGTTCTGCAAACAGAGATGAGGGAGCAAGTAATTTTGCTTGGGGAAGTTAGGGGAAGATAAAGAGAGGAAGTGCCATTTCATCTGGGCCTTGAATATTGGGGAAACATTTACTGGGGGCTAGGGAAAAGGCATGTTATAGGAGATGAAAATGCACTTTAATTCAGGGGCACAAATAGGACCAGGATGGTTGGATTTCAAGTACAGTGTGAGGGCTGAGGCTGGGAAGGCAGCCCTCGGGTTAAGTCTTCTCCTCTGGAAGGGCTTGGGAAGATATTTTGGGAAGAAATAGAGTTTGACATGAGTCCTGGGGTCTGGGTAAAATTTTGAATTATCACAGGAGTCCAAATGTCCCTGGGGAGTGGGGCTGTAAAGTCTACACTTTCATTCTCTTCTCTGACCCATGGACATTTTGCACAGGGCAGTGTAACAAGTCACTCGCCTCACAGAGCCCTCTGGGAAAATCCCGCAGAAATTCGGAAGTCATCTCTTCCTACTTGCAGTGGATACCAGACTCTTTCTCAAAAAGCTGAGCCCATTCATGTAATAGAATTGCCCTTGAAGAAATACCGGAAGTTATTGGGAAAGAATTTTTATTTTTGTCGTGTGGAAATAAATGAAGAAAAATCAAATGAGAATAAGCAAAGGCTGTTTACTTACTCAGAACGTGCTATGAGCAAGTCAGCTGCCATCACTTGTCTTTTGGCAGAAACTCAGAGGCAGGCAGAGGAGTGGGGAAGCTTCATAGTGGGGGAAAGGGAAGGCTCGGAGAGTGTGCTGATTGGAGGCTGCTGGTGCGGGAAGCTGGAGGGGGCTCACTGGAAGTGAGGTGTCCCATGGGATTTGGTAGAGTGCAACTTGGCTTTCTCTGCTTGGTCCTCAGAAATAGGGACAGAAATTAGAAAAACTGTCAGTTTTTAATTAAGTCCTGGCCCTTTTGGAGCAAATGTTACAACGGTTTTTGTTTTGCTTCCTGGATGGTTACTAGAGATAGCGTCTGACTTCCTAAAAGTCTGTGTCATAGACATCAGGCTGGCTTCCTGGGCTGGCTCCTGCAGATGATGGGTTGGTTTCCTGGGCTGGTTGCATAGATTGTGGGTCACTTTTTAAAAAATGTATGTCTGCTTATTTGTATATTCACCCTCTGTCTATTTGTATTTTCAGTCTCTCAGTCCATATACCTATGTGAAATAAGAGATCATCTCTGGATTTCAGGTGGGCACTATGATTGGAGTGTGTCTGGTAATCACATAAGGAGCTGCACACAGAGCTGAAGAGTGCAGGCCAAGTTGTGTGGGTGTTCACAAGGGTGCCAGGCTGTTGGGGCCGGCGTGGGGCTGAACTCGAGCCTGCTGCTCATAGGGGCAGCATGCCTGGAGGAAGCAACTTTGTTAGGACAGCTCTGGAAATGTCCTACATGAATGGTTTGGCTTCTCTATTCCTTTTGACAGACAGTAGCTTGGACTCCATCCCAATAAAATGTTTGACCTCTCTCAGATGGAAAACAGAAGCTGGAAGCTTATCGTTGCTACTGGAAATAAAGACCAGAGAAGAAAAGACACTTTTTTTTGATGAGACCTTATAACAGATGTGCTGCTTAGGCAGAGCAACATATGACTTTAATAGAAAAGGAACTTTCCTCTTCTCCACCCACCCTCAGTTTTGGAAGGTTTGATTGAAAAGGGGAAACTCTCTTTTTTTTTTTTCCTTTAACTAGTATCAGGTGTCTTACTGAGGTGGTTGGGTAAAATAGTCAAAATATTTTTACAACAGCTGTAAACGGTTTTACAATACACTTACTGTTTATGAGGAAGGCTGACGTGTTGGGGAGTTTTCATGGTTGTGATGGGCGCAGAGCAAGCAACCAGCATTTCTTAGGGGGTTTTGCTAAAAGGCGTTAATCCTGGTCACAAAGCCAAGTATAAAATTTTAGTGGCTTCTGAAACTGTCGCCTTTTTTTATGTCCCCTGTCTGAAGCTCTCTGGGAACCAATTGAGTCTGACACAGCTAAACATGTTTGCTTCTGTGAACTGTGTTTATGAGGCCATGTTCACTTAGAGGCAGAGGGAAGATGGGAAAAGAAAGTGGAAATATTGCTTTTAAGTAATGAGTGAAGTAAAACAATATTACTAGTGTTTTGTGTAACTTTCTAATTTAAATTGAAGGGGTTTTTCCCCAAGTCAAATGGCATCTTTTTACATAGAAAAATTTAACAATTGAAAAATTGAAAAAAAGTAAATGAAGATAAGGATCTGCTTTTTAAAAAGGCAAGGATAAAGATATAATGAAATAGCATATATCAACTTCTTTTGCAGGGTCAGGGAGTAAATTTACATTATTAGCGTCATCTTTAATAGTCTATTGAAAATAACATAGTTTAATGATCTTAATAATATAAATTCTTGGGAATTAACAATTTTCTAGAAAATTGTAAAGAAGTTCTCATTAAATGGACACCCACAAGCAATACTGAGAGATGATTACAATTCAGCAGGAGTTCTTTAGAAAGCAACCGTGAAATATGGCTACAACAATTTTGTTCTTATCTATGTTAAGGATACTGTATAATCCTGAATGATGAAGGTACAAATGGTGCGTTGAAATGGAAAATTCAATTTCTTACTCTATGTTCAGGGGAAAAGTATTCCTGAGAGTTTACCTCCTAGCTTTTTTATGACACCAAACAACAGAGATTGTAAAGGGTCAAGGGAGAGGAAACAAATGAGAATGTTTAACTTGTCTGAAAGGCAAGTGACACTTATTATCTGTTCATTTTGCATTCTGAAGTTACTTTGTTTTTTAAAACAGGACATGAGTATTTCCACTGGATCTGAAATTAGAAGAGGGAAAATATTTTTCAAAAATCCATCAAATTGGTAGGCTATGTCAGAGAGTTGCTGTGCAGTCTTACAATGTGTATCTTCCTTTTCTCAGTTAAGGAGGATAATCCACTGTTCCCTTTATTGGTCTGTTATGAGGATCTATTGGAAGTGACTGCCTTGTCAGTTATTCGTTCAGTCAAACGAATGAATACCCATGTTCCGGGAACCAGGCATGTTGGTGGGGTACAATGTAACACATGCCCCACCCTCATGCAGCTCACACGTTGAGAATGTCTAGAAAAAAGCATAGGGCAGTCACGATTCAGTGCTGCCAATTCTACCACGGCAGGAATTTTACCCAAATACAGAAGGGCCATAATCACTCTCTTTAAAAAATTGCCTTGCCTTATTGTTTAATTTTTTAAATTATATAAATTTTTTTCTTCAACTTTTATTTTAAGCTCAGGGCTACATGTGCAGGATGTACAGGTTTGCTACATAGGTAAACATGTGCCATAGTGGTTTGCTGCACAGATCAACTGTTACCCAGATATAGATATATAGATATAGATATCATTAGATCTCTCATATATGTATGTGTGTATATATATATATAATTTTTTTTTTTTTTTGAGACTGAGTCTTGCTCTGTCACCTGTCGCCCAGGCTGGAGTGCAGTGGCGCGATCTCGGCTCACTGCAAGCTCTGCCTCCCGGGTTCACGCCATTCTCCTGCCTCAGCCTCCCGAGTAGCTGGGACTACAGGCGCCCGCCACCACGCCCAGCTAATTTTTTTTTTTTTTGTATTTTTAGTAGAGACGGGGTTTCACCGTGTTAGCCAGGATGGTCTCGATCTCCTGCCCTCTTGATCCGCCTGCCTCGGCCTCCCAAAGTGCTGGGATTACAGGCGTGAGCCACCACGCCCGGCCATGTTACCCAGGTATTAAGCCCAGCATATACTAGCTATTCTTCCTGGTGCTCTCCATTCTTCCCCTCAGCCCCCACCCACCGACAGGCCCCAACCAGTGTGCGTTGTTCCCCACAACGTGTCCATGTGTTCTCATCATTTAGCTCCCACTTATAAGTGAGAATATGTTGTGTTTGGTTTTCTGTTCTTGTGTTAGTTTGCTGAGGATAATGGCTTCGAGCTCCATCCACGTCCCCACAAAGGACATGATCTCATTCATTTTTATGGCTGTATCATATTCCATGGTGTATATGTGCCACATTTTCTTTATTCAGTCTATCATTGACGGGCATTTAGGTTGATTCCATGTCTTTGCTATTGTGAATAGTGCTGCGGTGAACATGCACATGCATGTATCTTTGTAATAGATGATTTATATTTCTTTGGGTATATACCCAATAATGGGATTGCTGGGTCAAATGATGTTTCTGCTCTAGGTCTCTGAGGAATCGCCACACTGTCTTTCACAATGGTTGAACTAATTTACATTCCCACCAACAATGTAAAAGCATTCCTTTTTCTCCACAACCTGCCAGCATCTGTTGTTTTTTGACTTTTTAGTAATTGCCATTCTGACGGGTGTGAGATGGTATCTCATTGTGGCTTTGATTTGCATTTCTCTAATTATCAGTGATGTTGAGCTTTTTTTCTTTCTTTTCTTTTTTTTTTTTTTGAGACGGAGTCTCGCTCTTTCGCCCAGGCTGGAGTGCGGTGGCGCAATCTCGGCTCACTGCAAGCTCCGCCTCCCGAGTTCACGCCGTTTTCCTGCCTCAGCCTGAGGAGTAGCTGGGACTACAGGCGCCCGCCACAGTGCCCAGCTAAGTTTTTGTATTTTTAGTAGAGACAGGGTTTCACCGTGTTAGCCAGGATAGTCTCGATCTCCTGACCTCGTGATCCGCCTGCCTCGGCCTCCCAAAGTGCTGGGATTACAGGCGTGAGCCACCGCGCCTGGCCTGAGCTTTTTTTCATATGTTTGTTGGCCACATGTATACCTCCTTTTGGGAAGTGTCTGTTCATGTCCTTTGCCCACTTTTTAATGGGGCTATTTGTTTTTTTTCTTGTAAATTTGCTTAAGTTCCTTGTAAACTCTGGATATTAGACCTTTGTCAGATGGCTAGATTGCAAGCATTTTCTCCCATTCTGTAGGTTGCCTGTTCACTCTGATGATAGTTTCTTTTGCTGTGCAGAAGCTCTTTAGCTTAATTAGGTCCTAATTGTCAATTTTTGCTTCTGTTGCAATTGCTTTTGGCATTTTTGTCATAAAATCGTTGCCTGTGCCTTTGTCCTGAATGGTATTGCCTAGATTTTTTTCTAGGGTTTTAATAGTTTTGGATTTTACACCTAAGTCTTTAATCTGTCTTGAGTTAATTTTTGTATAAGGTGTAAAAAAGGGGTTCAGTTTAAATTTTCTGCATATGGCTAGCCAGTTCTCCCAGCACCATTTATTAAATAGGGAATTCTTTCCCCATTGCTTGTTTTTGTCAGGTTTGTTGAAGATCAGATGGTTGCAGGTGTGTGGTCTTATTTCTGAGTTCTCTATTCTGTTCCATTGGTCTATGTGCCTGTTCTTGTACCAGTACAATGCTGTTTTCGTTACTGTAGCCTTGTGATACGGTTTGAAGTTGGGTAGAATGATGTGTCCAGCTTTGTTTTTTTTTTTGCTTAGGATTGCCTTGGCTACTCGGGCTCTTTTTGGTTCCGTATGAATAAAATTATATAAATTTCTTAAAATTTAAATTAAAACATTTAAGATAATGTAAATAGGATGATACCATATTTGTTAATGTTTTTTGATCTTATTTTTTCTTTTTTGTCCAACGTTCACATGCTTCTTTCTTATTCTTTTCTCCTGTGTAATCCTCCAACAGATGTTTACAGCCTAGAATATATCTTTATTTTTCTTTATGCTCAAATAATTGTATACACACATATATTTACATGTATTGCATAGAAATGCAAACGTAAGGGTTTTGATCATTGCATTATATAAAAGTAAAATTATACAGTCATAGGGCATAGTATAACTTGATCTGGTCTTAGGATTTAAATGAGGAAATTTATCCTCAGGCCATGTAACATGGAATAATCTTTGGTAATTTTTATTTCATTCATTCAAGCAGAATAAATAAAATAATGCTCCAGCTATCTTTAATCATTGCTAAAACTTGTAATGAAAAACGCAAGAGCCTCTTTTCTTCCTTGGTCTACATGCTGCCTCATAGCCAGCTGAAGTGATATATTGTTCAGAATTTGAATTTATTGATCATATTACGTTTTCCAGAAATTCGCTAAACAAGGGGCTCTAATACATGTGCAGACAGGTAGGGAATACCCCCAAATGTACCTGGGTTATATCCTACCCCTTAGACAAATGGTAATAGGGCCTTGCCCGCTCAGGTTTGGTGATGATCCGATTTAGCTGCATCTATCACTGGTTGTTGCTCTTCCTATTGCTCCTAGTGGTAACTCCAGGCTCTACTAGAGAGTGACTAGTTTATTCATGTGCTTCTTTAAGACCACTCTATTATATTTAAAAATAATCAAACTGATCCACACATACAGAAGCCTAATGAAGTCCTAACCTTGTCTTCCTTCTGCTCCCAAATGAAGAAGATGTGGGGAGAGAGAAAGTAGGCTTGAAGGGAAGTCCATCTCTGTCATTTCAGGACAGGCTTGGCCCTGTGCAGAGCTTTCTTAGAGCCCAGACTTTCAAGTAGTACCAACAGATTGGGGCTCCCAGTTCTTGGTGCCTGATGGTCAATCACAGAGCTGACCTAGCAAGGGGGATCTTGAGAGGGTCCACGGAAGATTGGTTTTATTCACAGGCTGTCCCCCTACCAACAGGTTTTCCTACCAGCAGGTCCCAGGCTGCCACCCCTCCCTGCAGTAAGGATTTTTGGAAGAATGCTAGTTGTCTGAGTATCTTGCCCTAACTGCCAACTTCAGTGAATTCTTTACAAATGGTTCTCAGAGAGCTACACAAGTTGTGTAGGAATTTGGTGTATGGGACAGAGGAGTGGGAAGGAGAATGGGACAGAAAGGGAGGAAAAGGTAGAGGAAGTGGGAAGAAAGGGAGGAGGAGAAGAAGGGACAGGATGAGGCTTGCCTAGAACCTCAGCTCCGTTAGGAGAGACAGACTGGATCCCATAGTGTGGGATGGTAACTCTCTTCAGTTAGTTTTAAAAATGACATGAGTAATGAGTGGGGAAGGAAAGAGCAGCCAATGGGATGGTTTAGAGGAAGCCATGAGACCCAAGGGAGGAAGTCTGGCAAATGAGGGTGAAGCAGAGTTATTAGATCCTTTGGGAGAAAAATCCTGGAAGACTTAGGCTGATCCTATTTTTGTAGGGATCACTCACACCATTATCTAGTGGGGCAGTTGATGCATGACAGCTGCCCATTGATGTCTGTGAAGGTAATTGCTTGCTTTAAAGTTCATTCATGCTGCTAAAACAGAATATCATAGGCTAGGTAGTTTATAAACAAAAGACATTTATTTTTCACAGTTCTGAAGCCTGGGAAGTCCAAGATCAAGGTGCTGGCTGATTTGGTGTCTGGTGAAGGCCCACTTCCTTGTAGATGGCATCTTCTTGCTGTGTCCTCACGTGATGGAAAAGTGAATGAGATCCCTGAGATCCCTTTTATAAGGCCACTAATCCTATTCATGAGTCTCCACCCTCATGATTACCTCAAAGTGGCCCCACCTCCTAATACCATCACATTGGTGGTCAGGATCTCAATACATGGGAATTTGGTGGGGGGCACACAAACATTCAGTCCATAATAATGCTACAAACAGATTTTCTTGGAAGTTGGTTGCCTCTTTGGGAATAGCAAGAAGGTACTCAGATGTAAAGTTTGCAGTTAGCATCTTCTTTTGCTTTAAGTTGGTTTATCATGATAAAATTAGAGTTGGCACCCTTAAAAATACTTAAGACTATTTGTACACATCTCTTCTGCATATATTTTCTTTCCCTGAGCCCATTTTTATAGTCTTTGAAGCTTAAAATATAAACCTCCAAATGACCAACCCCATCTTTTGCTTGGCATTCTAGTGATCTTTATTTTTTTTTTTTAGAATGGCCTCAGGCACCAACATTGTGGCAATGTGTGGGGTACAGAAGAGTGGCTGTGATAAAGTAACTCAAAAGAGGTTAGGGTTTTATTTAAGTACAGGGTAGGGAACTATTCTAAGTGTGATAAGCCATCTTCCTGACCAGTGAGGAGCTAGTGAAAGGTAGCTAACCTTCCACAATGCTTCCAGAGGGCTGGAAGCCCTGACTTTTTGCAGCTTGGCAGGAACATCTGTAAAGGCTTCGGACTGGAACCTGCAACTTGCCGGCACTAGTGGGAAGCTAGTGATCTCTGTGTCTGAATAAAAGGTTGATGATTTTTATGTAGATACAAATTCAGAGAAACTGTCAGTTCTCTAATAACATATGGAAAAATTCTAAATTATAAAATTTTTATTATTTTCTTAATAATAAGATACTTTTTGCAGCACTTATCAGAGCCCTTTTATCTAGACTTGTGAGATTTAGCAAATAAGAGTAGTATTTTATCCCGCAATTCTGCCTTTATCCCATTAGCAATATTAGCATTTCCATCCAAATAGATCATGCTTACATTTTCTTTTTTTTTGAAACGGATTCTTGCTCTTTGACCCAGGCTGGAGTGCAGTGGCATGATCTCAGCTCACTGCAACCTCTGCCTCCTAGGTTCAAATGATTCTCCTGCCTCAGCCTCCTCAGTAGCTGGGATTACAGGCATACGCCACCATGCCTGGCTAATTTTTGTATTTTATGAGTAGAGAAAGGGTTTCACCATGTTGGCCAGCCTGGTCTTGAACTCCTGACCTCAGGTAATCTGCCCACCTTGGCCTCCCAAAGTGCTGGGATTACAGTCGTGAGCCACCATGCCTGGCCATGCTTACTTTTTTAGAATATTCACAGAATTGCGTGTCCATCACTGCAACAGATTTTAGAGCATTTTCATTAGCCCAAGAAGGTACTCTGTACCCCTGTGTCATCTATCTTCCCCCAATCTTCCCCACCCTCTGCCAGCCCTAGGTAACCACTAATCTACTTTCAGCCGCTATAGATTTCCTTATTCTGAACATTTCATATAAGTGGAATAATCCATTATTTGTCCTTTTGTGAAAGGCCTATTTCATTTAGCATGTTTTTCAGGCTCATCTGTGTTGTAGCATGTGCCAGAATGTCCTTCCTTTGTAAGGCTGAATAGTTTTCCATTGTACGGATAGACTACATCTTTATTCATTCATCTGTTGATGGACATTTGGGTTGCTTCCACCTTTTGGCTGTTATGATTAATGCTGTTACGTGCATTGGTGTACACGTATTCGTTCAAGTTCTTTCTTTCATTCTCTTGGGTACACACCTAGAACTGAATTGCTGGGCTGTGGGGTAAGACCATCTTTCACCATTTGAGGAATTGCCATGCTTGCTTTAAAAGCAACATGCAAGTTTTTTTTGTTTGTTTGTTTGTTTTTTTGTTTGACAGAGTCGTGTCCTGTCACCCAGGCTGGAGTGCAGTGGCGCGATCTTGGCTCACTGTAACCTCTGCCTCCTGGGTTCAAGCGATTCTCCTGACTCAGCCTCCTAAGTAGCTGGGACTACAGGTGCCTGCCACTATACCCAGCTAATTTTTGTATTTTTAGTAGAGATCAGTTTTCACCATGTTTGCCAGGCTGTTCTCAAACTCTTGACCTCCGATAACCCACCTGCCTCGTCCTCCCAAAGTGCTGGGATTACAGGCGTGAGCCACCGCACCCAGTCCCAACATGCAATTTTTCTATGATTTTAATTGTAAACAAAAATTTTTTTAATTTCTATTCATCCCTTTTGCTGTTTAAATTGGGTAATGTTCATATAATGCTGCGAAAGACTTCCTTACTATCTGCTTTCCTGCCCCCAGTAAAAAGGAAGAAAAAATGGAGAAATTATTTCTATATCAAATAAAATGCAAAACAGGAGAGGAAGTTCCTTACATAATTACATTAAAAACTGATAGTGAATTTTTTGAGGAATACTGAAAATCCTTCAAGCCTAGGAATGTTTGTAAAGTTCTGAAGCTTTGCTTGTTCCTGAATATTAAAACAGAGCCAAAGGTTTTCCTTTTTATTATTTTGAATAAAAAACTCCAAGAACCCTTCATGTAAATCTCGACACTAAGCCCATCTTTCCTTGTCTTGCCCCTTGAATCATTTATTTAAGCGGGCAATAATAAAAGGTGTCAGCAATTCAGTTGTGAGCTCTGGAAGATTTCTGTGCGCATTGACCTTTAAGCATTTGCATCTTGACAGGTGAGCTGTTCTTACTGTTTCCTGTGAGATATGGTGCGGCCAAGGGGTCAGGCATGCTAATGACAAAATTACCATTTACCTTTTACCTGGCAGGCCCGGTGCCTGACATTATAAATGTAGGTAACCTTTCACCTGAAGCTCTCTTTTGCTCTAGTAGAGATTATGTCGGAATGAACTTACTTATGGTGGCAGAAGAGTTATGGGCGAAGAAGGACTGAATTTAGTGCATTTTTTTCCCTTTGGGTTTCTTTTTGGGGATGCCTTTTCTCTCGCAGTCATTCTGCATAAAACATTACTGTTCTTGGTGTGGGGCTAGAGGGGGGTGATTGGAGCAGGGTTAGGGGAGAAGAATGCTGTTTTTGTCATCTTGTGTTCTTGACATTTTTGAAGCATGGCTGTTTCTCTCCTTTCTCTAAAGCTGCAGGTATTAATGAGGTTTTACTGGTGGCCCGCCTTCATCTATAACTGCCGTCCTTTTCCTGCTGATTCCAACAGAATGGCATTTCAGGGCTACTGGATACCAGATACGGTTAAGTAGTTAGGGGAACTGGTGGCGATTGGCAGAGATGCAGGCCTCTAGCGGATGCAGAAGGAAAATAAAACACAGAGGGGCACCAGCAACAGGAGGGGTCTGAAGAGGCAGAGGGCAGCTTGGCCAAGTCAAATAAAGTTAATGAAAGATCATGTGATTGCCAACTTCTTAGGCTAGCCAGTTGATGCTGTGTATGTCATCTTTTGACATATTCATCGGTTAGTCTTTAAGGTGTCATGGGGTGAGTGCATTCTCTATAATAACACTTAGCTAAATATCCTGAGACTGGCCTGGGCCAAAATTAAAATAAGAATGCTTACATTATTAGGTAGTAAGATTCATCAGTGAGTGTCTACTTCCTGGTGGTGCTGAGTGGAGCCAAGGAAGGGGGATAGAAGGAAGGGAAAGAAGAAAAGAAAGAGAGAGTGAGGAAGAGAGGAAAGGAGGGAGGGAGAGAGGGAAGAAAGGAGGGAAAGAGGGAGGAAAGGAGAAAGGAGAGAAGGTGGGGAGGAGAGATGGAGAGGGAGAGAGCAGGAAAGAGGGGAAAGCCTTATTTTCTGCTCTTGGTGGAAAACCCTTCCAAAGCAAGAAACCTAGGTCACTGCAGCCTAATAAGAGAGAGTGGAAGATGTGTGGGGCTCTCCTGCCTCCAAGCCCTCTTCTCCACCTTCAGAGAGATGGATGGTTAATAAGGAGCCAGGAATCCAGTGATCTCTGGCCTCTGCAAAGATGTCTTTCACTTAGTTTTTCTTGGTAAAGTGGTGCATAGGACTTCAGTGACATTTGCCTGGTGGTTATGAGATACTTTTGTAAACCAAAAATAAAGTTTGGAGGCCTGCCCCCAATCACCTGAGTGGATTTCCTCCTCTAGGTCAGGGCCCTCCAAACTGAACCTGAAAGGCTGGCTCAGGCCATGATGGGAAGATGGGGTGGACATGCCTCTTTATGCCCTCCTCCCTTTTGGATTTAGAAAAGCTGACCAGCATTTAACACCAGCACAAACCTTAAGTCTGAAGAAACCTTAAGAAACCTTTACAATCGGCTGGGTGTGGTGGCTCATGTCTGTAATCCCAGCACTTTGGGAGGCTGAGGTGGGTGGATCACCTGAGGTCAGGAGTTTGAGATCAGCCTGACCAACATGGTGAAACCCCATCTCTACTAAAAATACAAAAATTAGCTGGGCGTGGTGGCGCACACCTGTACTCCCAGCTACTTGGGAGGCTGAGGCAGGAGAAGCACTTGAACCCTGGAGGCAGAGGTTGCGGTGAGCTGAGATAGCACCATTGCATTCCAGCCTGGGCAACAGCTCCATCTCAAAAAAAAAAAAAAGAAAAAAAAAAAAAAAAGAAACCTTTACAATCCGGAAAAGGATTGAATCGTGGCTTTATTATCCTTGAGGACAATTCTATGTAATGTGTGGAAGATGAGAGGATTCCAAAGACATTCCTTTCCTCTTACAACCTCTTATAAGCCAGACATTCCTTTCTATTGATAACAACTCTTTCAACCAGTTGCCAATGAGAAAAATTTTAAATCTACCTACGACCTGGAAGCCTCCCCACTTCTATTTGTTCTACCTTTCTGGAGTGAACCAATGTATATCTTGAATGTATTTGATTGATGTCTCATGTCTCCCTAAAATGTATAAAACCAAGCTGCACCCTAACCACCTTAGGTACATGTTCTCAGGGTCTCCTGAAGGCTGTGTCGTGGGCCATGGTCACTCATATTTGGCTTAGAATAAATGTCTTCAAACATTTTACAGAATTTCACTCTGTTCATTGATACTTTGTAAATAATGATAATTAGGAACCCAAGAAGTACTGCCTGCTTGTTTAGCGTGTTCATTTAGCTCAAAGTTTGGTACCTTGTAGTTGTCATATGGAGTAAATCTTCAGCCACAAAATCTCATTATGAATGTATTCCAGGAAGGAGATATAATTTTTTTGGACCATTTGCAGCATATTCAAATGAAAGCTGGTGCTAATGAAATTATTCTCATGTAATTAGATGTATTAAATAATGTCCCAGGTTGGTTCAATGACATGGTTGGATTGCTAATTTCTCTTCTTTCCAGGCATGGAAAGAATTCTCCCTGAAGATTTGTGCCACAAATAGCCCCAGAAGCTGGCTGATTTTGGAGTCATTGCTGCACTGAACCCAGAGCTCGCCATGGCATCTTGTTTAAGAAAATTAAGTTTTCCCATTCTTCCTCTTTAAGCTGGTGACCCTGGGTGGCATGGAACTCTTACAGGAAAAGCTTGGAACTCTTGAGCTCAAATCCAGTGTGTTGACAAGGTCCCAGTGGGAACCCCATTCAGGCTGAATGAATTGGCAGTCATTTCCAGGCTTATCAGATCACATTCTCCTTGTCTTACTTAATTTTGTGAATCAACCCCAACTCAGGAGACCAGAATCACAACAAGAATTTCATTTTTGCCAGACAAAGGGCTCAGCCATGCATTCAGCCATCAAGTTTTCCTTGTCCTTCCCTGGGTCTGGAGTGATATAGACTGAAACAGTGGATCCGTGTCAGGTTTTACTCATGGCTGGACTGCCTTGTCACGCTCCTTGGCACCGAAGGAGTGTGATTGAATGTGTGTAGCTGTCAGAGGCAGAGGGGAGTCAATAATACCTGATATTTGCCTTGAATTCCTGTTTTACCTTCACACAATTAAATCTTGCCTTCACATTATTTCATTTGCTTTACTTGGAAAGGAGCTCTAACCTTGAAAAGGATTGAAGTTGTGGCTTTATTATCCTTGAGGACAATTCTATGTAATGTGTGGAAGAAGAGAGGATTCCAAAGAGATTCCTCTCTTGTCTTTTCCGTATCAACTGCTTTGAGTCCTTTGTTTTCTTTCCTGGGCTCTTGTGTGGGTGACACATCTGTGTTTATATACAGCTAGGCCATATCTCTCTCCCAAAGAGGCAGAAGAGCCAAACTACATGTCTTCAGGAGGGGGAAGCAAGTTTTTCTCAACCTTAGTGAATGATGTTTCTAGAACAGGGTGGATCTCTAAGCCCTTAAGGATGATGCTGTCTGTTCCAGAGAATTCTATATAAAGTGTATGTGTGTGCACGCTTCTTTCAGTTTTCTTCTCTTAAGAAGACAATTAGCAGCAGCATTCAACATAGAGTCCTCAAAGGATGAAATCCTCCCAACATTTAACTTGGGTCATTTGGGAATGTGTAAATGTAGTTACTCTTCCAGGCCACCGTGGGGGGCTATTTGGTGTACTCCTAAATGTAGGACTTTTCACATTGAAAAGAATACACTGGAACAGACTTCCTGATTCACATCAACCAGCCAGGCCTGATCCTTTCATTACAAGGTAATGCATTTTGTAGATTGAGTAGGAAACTAAATAGGCAACCCTCTTTAGGGATGTAGATATCTCTGCTTCAGAAAATGTTTATTGATTCTTTAGGTTCAGAACAACATTAATCATGCAAAAAGCCAAAGACCCGAGACTCAGAATCTGGTATCAGGAGACAGGGGAGCTGCTTTTCTTTTCACAGTAAGACTTATGTCAACACATTTCTGAAAATGAATCAATAGTCAAATAACTCAAGTGACAGATTGATCATTCTGGCAGAGAACAAAGTCTATAAGATGTCATACAATCAAAACAGCAACAACACGTAAGGCATTTTATTTGACATTACTCAAAATTCTACTGATCCTATCACATTTAATACGTCTTTTTCCATCAGCCTCTGGAGATAGGAAGATAAAAGTAACAGTGAGATGAAATGTAGCCATTACATTAGAAATATGAACTTGCAGGGTGCTTAACGCTATTTCAAATACCACTTTAAAACAAAAAATAAGGTTACACATTCCATATCCGTTTAAAGTAGACTATGTAATATGTTATTTGTAAGGTCTTTAATAGATTATAAAACACTTTTTAAGTATCATTTCAATTAAAATTTGACTTTATTTTAGCTGTTTTTTCTTTAAAAATTTTTTTAAATGAAATTTTAGCCTTGCAATTTTTCTCCTATAAAATGGGCTGTTTTTTACTTGCTCATCAATACAATATTTCTTTTCTCATTTTTAGTTCTTTGTAGGTTGAACCTTGCTGTGGAAGCCCGAGAGCTTTTAACAAAAGAGCTTGGGGGAAGATAGGTCAGAGTTCAAATTCCTATGTCTGCCTTTTATTGGCTGTTTGACCTGGGCTGGTCTTCTGGTCTCTTGAAATCTGCATTGAAGCACAAAAGGGTATCAGAAGAGTCTGTTAAAATGATTGTAAGGCAAGGATGAGTTATATGCTTGGCATGTAGTCAGCACTCATGATATTATTGAATATTATGATCAATATCATTACTACTATTACTCCTATATGAAAGCTGTCTGTTATTCAGTATTTTTCTCTAGAAATCTCTATCACAGGAAAACAATGCAATCCGTAAAATAAGTGTTCAAAATAATGATCATAAGGCATTCAAAAATCCTGAATTCTTGAATTATCAAAGAAAAGTTATGTTTTGGCAGTGTAGCTTGAATGATATGTATATTATAGTATACTGTAATTCTTATATGTTTATATATACTGACCCTCGATGTATGTATTACTTCACTGCAATATTCAATTAATCAACACTTGACTAGGCTGCATAATTTAAATTTTTTTAAATTTCAATAACTTTTAGGGTACAAGTGGTTTTTGGTTACATGGATGTGTTGTATAGTGGTGAAGTCTGAGATTTTAGTGTACTGATCACCTGAATAGTGTCCATTATACCCAATATGTAGTTTTTTATGCCTTGCTCCTCTCCTACCTGTCCCCTCTTCTTAGTCTTCAAAGTCCACTGTACTGCTCTGTATGCTCCAAAGCTTAGCTCCCACTTATAAGTAAGAACATATGGTATTTGGTTTTCCATTCTTGAGTTACTTCACTTAGAATAATGGCCTCAACTCCATCCAAGTTCCTGCAAAAGGCCATTATTTTATTCTTTTTTATGGCTGAGTAGTATTCCATAGTGTGTATATAGACCCACTATATATATATATGTATACACACACACACAATATATATATAGATACAACATATGCTATATATATACTATATATTATATATACATAAACTTTCTTTTTTTCCTTTTTCTTTTTTTGATTTTAATTTTTAAATTATATTTTAATAGTTTTTGGGGTACGGGTGATTTGTGGTTACATATATAAGTTTTTTAGCGATGATTTCTGAGATCTTAGTACACCCATTACCCAAGCAGTGTACACTGTACCCAATATGTAGTCTTTTATCCATCACCCCCCATCCAAGTCCCCAAAGTCCATTATATCATTCTTATGCCTTTGTGTCCTTATAGCTTAGCTCCCACATATAAGTGAGAACATATGGTATTTGGTTTTCCATTCCTGAGTTATTTCACTTAGAATAATGGCCTCCAGCTCCATCCAAGTTGCTGCAAAAGGCATTATTTCCTTCCTTTTAATGGCTAAGTAGTATTCCATGGTGTATATATACCACATTTCCTTTATCCACTTTCTGGTTGATGGGCACTTAGATTGGTTTTATATCTTTGTTTGTGCAAATTGTGCTGCCATAAACATGCATGCACATGTGTCTTTTTCATAAAATGACTTATTTTCCTTTGGGTAGATACCCAGTAGTGGGATTGCTGGATCAAATGCTAGTTCTACTTTTAGTTCTTTAAGGAATATCCATATTGTTTTCCATAGTGGTTGTACTAGTTTACATTCCCACCAGCAGTGTAACACCATTCCCTTTTCACCACATTCAAGCAAACATTTATTGTTTTTTGACTTTTTAATTATGGCCATTCTTGCAGGAGTCAGGTGGTATCTCATTGTGGCCATGATTTGTATTTCCCTGATGAAGTGATGTTGAGCATTTCTTCATATGTTTGTTGGCTGTTTGTACATCTTCTTTTGAGAAGTGTCCATTCATGTCCTTTGCCTACTTTTTGATGGGATTATTTTTGTTTTTCTCGCTGATTTGTTTGAGTTCCTTGCAGATTTTGGATACTAGTCCTTTGTTGGATACATAGGTTTCAAACATTTTCTTCCACTTTGTGGGGTGTCTGTTTACTCTGCTGATTATTTCTTTTGCTGCACAGAAGCTGTTTCATTAGGCCCAATTTATTTATTTTTGTTGTTGTTGCATTTGCTTTTGGGATCTTAGTCATAAATTCTTTGCTTAAGCCAATGCCCAGAAGAGTTTTTCTGATGTTATCGTCTAGAATTTTCATGGTTTCAGGTTTTAGATTTAAGTCTTTGATTCATCTTGAGTTGATTTTTGTATAAGTTGAGGAGATGGGGATCCATGTTCATTCTTCTACATGTGGCTAGCCAGTTGTCCCAGCACTATTTATTGAATAGGGTGTCCTTTCCCCAATTTATATTTTTGCATGCTTTATCAAAGATAATTGGCTGTAAGTATTTGGCTTTATTCCTGTGTTCTCTATTCTGTTCCATTGATCTGTGTGCCTATTTTTATACCAGTACCATGTTTTGGTAATTTTAGCCTTGCAGTATAATTTGAAGTTGGTATACCACATTCTTTATCTACTCATTGGTCAACGGGCGCTTAGGTTGGTTCCATATCTTTGTAATTTTGAATTGTTAGGCTGGATCATTTTAAGTTTCTTATATTCTGTGTGTCATCAGGCAAACCAACAGATATATAGCGGAGAGAAATTATAATTCAATTCTGAGTAGTGAGTGAAACCTATAGATAATAATAGTAAATAATGCTTAATTTTATTTATTTATTTATTTAGACAGAGTCTCACTCTGTCACCCAGGCTGGAGTGCAGTGATGCAGTCTCGACTCGCTGCAATGCCCACTTCCCAGGTGCAAGTGATTCTCCTGCTTCAGCCTACTGATTAGCTTGGCTTTCAGGTGCATGCCACCACGCCTGGCTAATTTTTGTATTTTTAGTAGAGATGGGGTTTCACCATGTTGGCCAGGATGGTCTCAATCTCCTGACCTTGTGATCAGCCCGCCTCGGCCTCCCAAAGTGCTGGGATTATAGGTGTGAGCCACCGCACCTGGCCGAGCAAGGGTCTTTTGAGAGGTGACAGTGCCCACTACTTAGATCGGTGCACAATTGATAACTTACGAATTGTTTTATTTCTGAGATTTTCCATTTTATATTTTCAGACAGTGGTAGACCACAGGTAAACCATGAAAAGTGAAGCCATGGATAAGGATGGACTACTGTATAATTAACCTAAGTGTCTGTCAACGGGTAAATGGATTAAAAAAACTGGCGTATATACACAATGAAATACTATTCAGCCTTAAGAAAGGAGGAAATCCTGTCTTTTGTAACAACATGGATGAGCCTGGAGGACATTATGCTAAGTGAAATAAGCCAGGCACAGAAAGACAAATAACACATGATCTCACTTATATGTAGAATCTCAAAAAGTTGAAATGGAAGCAGAGAATAGAATGGTTACTGGGTTTGGGGTGGGGATATGTTGGTCAAAGGATACACAATTTTGGCTAGACACAAAGAATAAGTTGAAGAGATCTATTGTTTCTGTAATTGGTAACAATGTATTGTGCACTTGAAAACTGGGAGGAGAGAGATTTTAAGTATTCTAACCACAAAAAATGGTATGTGAGGTAATGCATATGTTAATTAGCTTGATTTAGCCATTTCACAATGTATACATCTTTCAAACATACAGTTTTCAACAAACATTTGGTGCACCATAAATAGATATAATTTGTATTTATCAATTAAAAAAAGAGAGAATTTCTGAGACCATACCCTGGGAAAGGAAATAGGTCTGGTGTAGGAAGCCCTTATTCATTAAAACTTTTCAAGTGATTCTGGTGTGCATTTAGTCTTTTGGTTGTAGTGACTCTGAGGAGTGCTTTACTCAAAGAAATTAGTCTCTAATGAAGAAAATTTAGGCCTGATGACAGGTCAGTGGAGGGCATAAGTTGAGGCTCATAGTAGCATTCCTATTACCCTTAAAAATCACAATATGTAAGATTAGTTTTATTATTCTCTGTACCAGAATTCTCTTTAATATGCTTGATGCGGATCATAAAAGCTTATAGCTAAGAATCTGATTATTTCAAGCTGTTAGTTGAGCCAGACTTGGCTTATTTCAATTCCTATTTCAGAGAATGATATAAAGCTACTTCCTGAGAGTGTTCCCATATGTACGTTTTTCCATGGCTAAGCCAATGGCTAAAGTGAAAAATACAGAAGAAAAACACTGCAGTGACTTGGGTGGTCACTATAGGCCATATTCTGACTCAAGCTACTGGAGTTGCAGGTTCAGGCCTGCAGTATGTCCTCGGACTCCTTAAGGACTGATTTGATGGACTTTTTCTCATTAAAACTTTCTGGAAGTGCAAGTCTGAGGCATGTGGAAATAAGCGAAGACCAACCAAATGAGAAGAGGCAATGGTTACTTATTCAGAACTTGTCATAACAAGGGAATTGGTCAACATTACTTGTGCTTTGTTAGCAACTCACATGCAGACAGAGGAGTGGAGAAGCCTCAGAGTGGAGCAGAGCAAAGGCTTCAGGCGCGTGCTGATTGAGGAAACTGGAGACAGCTCACTAGAAGCAGGGTGTGTGGTATGAATGTGTCTCCCCCAAATTTATCTGTTGAAACTTAATTGCCAGTGTGATAGTATTTAGAGGTAGGGCCTTTAGGAGGCGATTAGGTAGTGAAGGTGGAACCCTCATGAATGGGATCAGTGCCCTTATAAAAGAGGTTGTTGGGGGGAGTGAGTGCATCCTTCTGCCTTCCGCCAGGGGAGGACACAGCCACAGGGCACCATCTTTGAAGCTGAGAGCAAGTCCTCACCAGACAGCAGGTCTGCTGGCCCCTTGATCTTGGACTTCCCAGCCTCTGGAACTGTGAGAAATAAATTTCTGCTATTGTAAATTACCCAGTCTAAAGTCTTTTGTTATAGCAACGTGAATGGATGGAAACACAGACATCCCATGTGATTAGTTAAGAGGACATATTTGACTTTCTCTGGTTGGTCCTAAGTTGGAAGTGGGAGCAAAAGTTAGAGATTAATTTTTCAGGGGACAATTAATGAAGTCCTGGACATTTTGGGCCAATTGTTATGGATGTTATTGCTTGACTTCCTGAACTGGTTGCTAGAGGTAATGGTCTGACTTGTAGATGGACAGTGGGCTGGCTTCCTGGATTGGTTACTATAGATAAGGGATTGGTTTCCTTGGCTAGTTGCTGCAGGTCGTGGGTTGGAGTTCTATTTTTGTATATGATCTGGCTATTGTCCATGTGTATTCAATCTCACAGGCATTATCTTCTATTGCGGAGGCACCTGGCTTTACAGGAACTATGTTGTGGCAAGAGAAGGACTTGGCTATTGATGAGAAACCTCTGTTTCACTTTAGAATCCACAACCAGAAATGTCCAAGTGAGCGAGAGATATGCAAAGCTCCAACTGGCACAGACTGGAATTCTAGAGTAAAAGAAAATCCTCAGGACTCCGCATGGTGCCCTTTAAGTACCAAGCTGCTTAAAATATCATTCTGTTTATTGTAATTTGATGTGTGAAATTCAGGCAGGCATTTACAATTCAGATCCCATTCCTAAGGGATTCCCATTTGGGTGTGTTCGTATGACTTATTCTGAGCCTTTCTTCAAGTATGGACGCTTGAGATTGTTAGGTAAAATGCACATAGATGCTCAGAGATGAAGTGTTTATCATCATTACCTCAATGAATCATTCTCCAGCCTTGACAGGTTCTAATGTCCCCCATGCTTCAACGCCACCCACTCTGTCTTGCTCTTTGTCTGAAGCGTGTTCTCTTTCCTTCTGCCCACCAGCACCCCCATCTCAAAATTTCAAAGTATTCCCCTTATCAATCATTTGGATTTAGCTGGGGGCAGAGGGGGCGGGGGTTGCTGGACAGCAGCAGAAGCTTTGTCCAAATACCTTATAACAAGAACAACAACGTGGTCATGGCCCCTGTTTGCTGGGTTGGGGAGAATGGGGCAAGAAAGGAGGAGGGGGACCTGCTGCGACAACAGACCCAGGCTGCCACCAAGGGGGTGGCAGCTCCCTTGGTGAGTGCAGTCCCCTTTGCTAAGAAAAAAATGGAGCTGTTCTCACGGCTCGACCTTCTGTTCCCTGGGACTACTCTGGAAAGGGTCCTCATTTCTGCTTTTCCAAACAGGGGGCTTCCATTTCCATCAAAGGTGATAGCTGAGTTAGGAAAACTGAGTCTGGCCTGGTGAGGCTGCATTTTTCCCATTGCTGGCTCAAGGGAGACTGTGATTCTCATGACAAATTATGTGTTCTACTTTTAGCTCTTTCCACCGGGTTATACTATGACCTTGGGCAAGACCCTTGACCTTTCCGGGTTCCCCCTCCTCCTCTTAGTTTCTCCTCATCTGACCAAAGCACTTTTTAAAAAAACCATGACCGTGTTATAAAACAAAATGTAGAATAGATGAAAGGAAAATGTATGATCATGAATCTAACAGGAACATTGTTGATGTTTCTTCCCATTCCTTTTTCTATGCTTTAAAATTATAGTTGCAATCATTGAATCTCTACCTGAATAGCTTGCTTTTTTTTTTTTTTTTTTTTTTTTTCCGGGACATGTTCCTAGGTTGCTGAATAATCTTTATAATCATGATTCTTAATAACTTTATAATTTCAAGATGTATTTCTTAGTCTCTTCCATTTAGCTCACCTAGAAAATATACTGGGAATTGAGATACAGTAAAATCCACTGAGAAATTCTCCTTGAATTTCCTCTTGTTATTTTCCCTTTCCTTTGAAATATTCAGGGGTTTCTTTTTTAGAGTAGGAAATTAGCCAGTGCCTTAGAGATAAAATGCCCAAATAAAAACAAAAATGAACCTCAACCCCACACTGCCCCCAGACAAACCCAAACACTGGTTAACTCTCTTTTTAAAGTTAGTCTGGGCCGGGTGCGGTGGCTCACGCCTGTAATCCCAGCGCTTTGGGAGGCCGACGTGGGTGGATCACGAGGTCAGGAGATTGAGACCACCCTGGCTAACATGGTGAAACCCAGTCTCTACTACAAATACAAAAAATTAGCCGGGCATGGTGGCACGTGCCTGTGATCACAGCTACTCAGGAGGCTGAGGTAGGAGAATCGCTTGAACCAGGGAGTCGGGTTGCAGTGAGGTGAGATCATGCCACTACACTCCAGCCTGGTGACAGAACAAGACTCCATCTAAAAAAAAAAAAAAAAAAATTAGTCTGTCCATATTCTTTCAGTAAAATGTTCGATTCTTCCAACTCTTAGATTAAAATGTCCCAAGGAGCAGCCCCTGGGCTTTATTTTTGGGATTTGGTGGTAAATCTTCCTCTGGATGTCAAGTCTCCTCAAAGTCTGCAGGAAATCCTACTGGGACTTGGAGATTGTGACATCAGATCTAGTTAGAGCTGTTGAGTGCAAGGAACTGCAGATGTCTGAACATGCCAGGAGAGAGAACTTGCAAAGACCTACAACCAGCATCCCGCTGGATTAGATGTGTGGCTTTTTCTGTCCTCAGGTTACCTGGGGAAACAAATCCCACAGAAATTATTTGATCGCCCCCCTCCAGAGCATACAGTGAACAGATGAGAGAAGGTATCTGTACTATGAGAGCCTCTCTCTATTGTGCTCCCCATAAAAGGCCAACAGCCTAAGAAGGCTTCACTTTCTCTGGGGTGCTATTGCACTGCATCATATACAAATATCCATATGAGGGGAAGAAAGCAAAGCAAAACTTTTCCTCTTTTTTTTTGTTTTTTTGAGACGGAGTCTCACCCTGTCACCTAGGCTGGAGTGCAATGGCCTTATCTCGGCTCACTGCAACCTCCACCTCCCGGGTTCAAGCGATTCTCCCACCTCAGCCTCCCAAGTAGCTGGGATTACAGGCACTTGCCACCACGCCTGGCTAATTTTTTTGTATCTTTAGTAGAGACGGGGTTTCACCGTGTTGGCCAGGCTGGTCTTGAACTCCTGACCTTGTGATAAGAGAGAATTTTTCCTCTTTTGGATAAATCATTTCCAACTGAATTCATCATGGCCACCTATCATATATCACCCTTCCTCCTCCCACCATATTGCACCAAATCCAGCTGCTGCTCCCCTGGATTTCATTCTAGTCAGGTAACTGGGGGTCATCCTGATTTTGACTTTTAGTTCTCACATCCAACATTCACATGAGTTTATTAACTCTACCATATACAGCTTTCATATCAATGTGCTTCTCCACTCCCCTACGGTACTGCCTCATTTCATGTTCTCATCATTTGTAAACTAGATTTCTGGGTTACCACAATTTCTTAACTGATCCACATACTTCCAGCCCTGTCTTCATACCACATGGTGTCCTTTCTCATGATCAGCCAGTGTCTGCCAGTCACTTGCATGGGAGTCTTCATTCTCCTTTGTCTGTCTGACCATGCCACTCATCAGACCATATTGCTCCTCGGTAAATTACATGCAGGATTCTTGGCATGGCAGACATGAGACTGCATATCTGCTGCCTTCTTTCCTGCCCAGCCTGATCCTCCCTCCTGATCTCTTAAATCAAAATATCACTTGGTGCAGTCCGGGAAGACACATTTTTAAAAAGCTCCCTGGGCAATTCTCATGTATGGGATCCATTGATAATTATTTGGAAACTAGTATTCCAGAAGCTCAATAGGATGCCATTTATGTCTCAATTTTCCTGTAATCAAGCCTCAGGAAAGGATGCATCATAATGTATTTCAGTTACTGAGCCCCCTTGGGTTGGGTCCAAGATGGAATTCTGTTATGGTTAATTCTGCATAAAAGATTTTGTTGATAGTTAAACTGCGGGATATTAATGTTGCTTGTACCTGAAAAGATTGTGTGTGGTAAGCCTTCCTGTGCACTAAACCAGTCACGTTATTCCCCTGTCTTAATTCAGGGGCAGCATACCTCCTTATACCCAAGTCTTAATTTAAGAGGAAGAGAAAGGAACAGGAAAGAATGTGGCGAGATATAAGAACAAAAGAAGACTGCCCCACAAAAGAGCATGGCAAAATAGCACAAATGGGAAATATTGAGTTGCCAAAGTTTAGGGAATTAATGATCATGTATACTTTCATATTTTATGATTTTACCATCAAACATGAGTTTTTAACAATAAGGAAAATGCTGATTCTATAAGGTTCAGGGAAATGTCAAGATGCAAAATTGTTTTTGCAATCTCAGTTGTGTAAAGTATGTTTAGAAAACACCTTAAAATACTGTATTAAGTTAATATTGCTTCTCTCTGGTGCTGAGATTATTGATTTTTAACTTTTTAAAAAAATTTCTCATCCCGATGTTTTTAAATTTTTTTGAGTTCACAGACAGTATGTTTGGAATCAGAAAAATATAAGCTAACTTTTGATTGTCGTTGTTGGAATATAACAGGAAGAGATATGAAAGTGATAGAGAAGTAGGCAAACGATGGTGGAGGGGGGAGGGAAAGAAAAGGGGGAGGAACAGAAATAAAAGAAAAGGAGAGAATATGGGGGAGGAAAGAATATGGCCACAGGGCGAGGACATATTATGTCTGAAGCCTGAGGACACATCATTTTAAG
This sequence comes from Homo sapiens, assembly GCF_000001405.40. Classification (NCBI taxonomy): domain Eukaryota; kingdom Metazoa; phylum Chordata; class Mammalia; order Primates; family Hominidae; genus Homo; species Homo sapiens. The sequence goes on from NC_000006.12 coordinate 8,205,881, forward strand.
ATTCCATCTTCAAATCGGGGCTTCTGACTTCCTTCCTTCCTTCATTCCTTCCTTTCTTCCTTTCTTTTTTTGACAGAGTCTTGCTCTGTTGCCCAGGCTGGAGTGTGTAGTGGTGCGATCTTGACTCACTTCAGCCTCAACCTCCTGGGCTCCAGTGACTCTCCCACCTCAGCATCCCAAGTAGCTAGCTGGGTCTGCAGGTGCACGCCACCACGCCTGGCTAATTTTTGTTATTTATTATTTTTTGTAGAGACAAGGTCTCCCTTTGTTGCCCAGGTTTGTCTCAAACTCCTGGGCTCAGGCAATCTGCCCATCTTGGCCTCCCAAAGTGCTGGGATTACAGGTGTGAGCCACCGCACTCAGCCAGGACTCCTGATTTTCTAAGCAGACTAGTACTCGATCAGAAATGCTATAAAAAGACTGCCCTTGTCTAATGCACTGGTATTCTCTACAATGACATGTGCAAGCAGCTGCTTCTTTTTATCATCAGTATTGAAAAGAGCAAAGAGCTCGTGGACATTACTTTGAAGTCATTTGCATATTGATAAATGAGTCACAAGATGGCAAAGCTTCGATGTTTTAGGAAAATATTTTCTTATATCCTTTCTGATCTCTCTACTGCCCAGAGTCCTCTCAAATTAATCAAAGGGATAGGAAACTCCAACCCCGAGGACCAGGATGGTCCTTTGTCCCCAAGGTGAGTCCAGTGCTGACCTGGAGAGGGACTCCAGTCATTGTAAGATTGGAGGATGGATTAGGCCATGAATATGCAGAGGCAGGATGAAGGGAGTGAGCACCCAATCCATAATGACTGAATTACTATTTTAAAATGGAGTGAATTAGATAGTTATTATCGGTGTAATTATTCATAAATGTGCCTAATTATTCATAATTATTCAGAAGCCTATTACTTCCCTGATTGCCATAAGTGATCTCTGAGGCCAATTACAATTGGATTCTGGTCACAGGACTCAGTGACTATTACCCATCTGTCTTGGTGAATCCAGAGCTTGGTCTCTGTCCTAACAGCACGGAGAGCCCTTCGTGTCATCTGGCCTTTTAAATACACACAACAGACCCGTTGCGTTAAACCCAGCTGATTTCAAAGCCCCCATTGTCTTTTTCCCCCTTTCCGGTCCCAAGCTCCACTTATTTGGGTTCAGGCTGTTCCTTCGAGGGCACACGCTGCTGCTGTTTAATTAGGACTCTCTTGTTGTCATTCCTGCATTTGATATCTTAATAGCATTGAGAGCATATGTAGGGAAATAGGCAAAAAGGAAAGTACCTTCATGCACATAAAGGTGATATGGAGAAGCCAGAAGCCCTGGAAGGCTTGGCCGTGTTTTAAAGGTTGCACTGTCAAATCAGTGGTTTGAGATTTTCTGTAAATCTTAAGGCCCTAACACACAGATGAGGGAACGCAGCTAGGTTTAACTCAGGCGGCTACAGCTTGCCGCCTCTGATACTTATCACGCTTCTGAGGATCATTTCAAAATAGTGTGGCCTAGGAGAGCATTTCCAGTTTTTCCAGAATGATTTCATTCTGACCTCAGTGTGGCCAATTGCTGGACGTGGGCTCTGGCTTGATACCCCGTCTGTGCAGAGCGTCTTGTGACTGCGCAGGCATCAGCGCTGAAGCTGTAGCTCAATTTCTACTTTTTTTTTTTCTCCCTGGAAAACATTACAGCAATTACCATATTGTGGGGCAGCATTATCAAGTGCAAATTAGCATATAGATTAGTTCTGGGGGGCAGGGAGGAGAGGTGGGTTAAGAACTTTAAAATCATGTATCGTTAGGCTGCACAAAGAGTGGCATGCAGAAATCTTCGGGCCCTGGTCGACCTAACCCTGTGTGTACATCAGCGGATCTGATGGGTGTCAGCTGATCATTTCTAGGGGAACAAAGGCAACTCAGTTCTGATTGTAGCTACGAATGGGGCAGTGTAAGAAGTGGCGGAGCTGTTGGTGGATTTTAAGACCTTCATCAGCTTTTCGTTCTTGGACAGAGAATCCCTGATTTGGTTAGTAAGAACTCCCTATAATTAATTGGAGTCACTAAGTTCACATTTTGCATTTGGTCCAAGAAATGAAAATGGTTAAATTTTTGCTGATGGGATAAAAAAGAGTATAATCTAGAATTGAGACTTTTAAAAAGAGTGTGGCAAAAGATAGTATGCAAAAAGGAGATTAATTTCCTACCTTCCATCAGAAGAATATAAAAATAGATTTATTGAAAAATAAACATTTATAGGACCTCCTTTATCTTTCTAAGATCTCCAACAGTGCAGGAGACTGGTTTAGAAACAGTCAATCCGTCAGTTGGTCAAGTGTTTATTGATCATCTACTATGTGTACAACACTATGAATGGTACAAAATATAGGATATGGAACTAATCACCAAAGTTCTCAAATACAATCCTTTAAAGAAATGGCACAGAGGCTCCCTATTGGCTGCTGTGGAAGAGTTCAGAAGAGAGGGAGAACTTTGTGGACTAGACTAGAGTGGTCAAGAAAAGTTCAACAGGATTTAGGAGCTTTCTTGACTACAAAGGGTAAGTGGGGTGTGAACGGGCATTCATGAGGATATTCCAAGCCAGGGTGATGGACCACAGGACTCAAAGGTCAAGGACATTGTGAAATGGATGGCTTAATGAGGAGAACAGCCTGACAGAACAGAGGGTCTACGTGGAGGTGATGGAAGTGTGTATGAAACAAAGGTATGAGACTAAGGCAAATGTCTTAACCTCTTTCAATCTCAGTTATCTATTTCATTCAAATGGATTTAACAATAACTTCCTTGAAAAATGATCATGTAATAAATGAGATCAATTATTTTTCTATATGCAACTTCTGGCATACAGTAAGCACACAGCCTTTGCTAATTAATTAGTTAAATGTGATATTGCTTAATTGAGTTAGATTTAAAACCACTTAGGGTCAGCTCGGGGCCCAGTGTTAAGCATGCAACTTTGTCTGTGGCAAATACTATCGCTCAAATTAGCAACAAATAAAACATGTTTTTAAAAAAACACAATTCCTCTGAAGAAAATAACACCCCAAATCCTTTTTGGGATCACCTTTTCAGCTACCCTGGTTGGGGGCAGGCTCCGATTGGGATGTAGGAGAAACTGCTTCAGGAAAACAGAAAAATAAAGGATGTGGATGTGGATGGGTGAACTGGGAAGACTGATGAGCTGGAAGGAGTTGCACTGAGATTTATTTTCCCACAGTGACTTGAAAGGATAAAAAGCAGAAGAATACGGCTGCGGAGCCTGACAGGTCTACCTGACTACCAAGGAGGTCGGGTCAGCATGGCCGCTTTGATTACTGGAGACACTACACATTTCATGGTACATTAGGTAGATTCTAAAGCCTAATCTGGTCCCATGAATGGTCAAGGTATGGATTGTTCGATGGGGGATGGGCACGAGACAGCCATGTGCAAATGTGTAATTGAGCACGACGTCCTGGGTCTCAGCCCAGCATCATCCACCATTCATGGAAGGAAGGTCCCATCAACTATGCACTCCCTGGACCCCAAAAAGTCATCCAGGTGTATTCTTTCATATCTCCCCCACCCCCAGATTCTCCAAATGCTGTGAGAGGCAGGAAAAGAAAAGTACAAGGTCTTCAATCTTGGAGAAAATTTCCTGACACACAGTAGGTGCTCAATAAATATTTGTGAAGAACTGTTTGTTGAAAAAAAAATCTTCCCTTTTACTCAGTTTGAATCCTCAGGTCCCATAGCTTTTATTGGCCTGTATTGATTTTTCTTACCTATTTTCGAATGTTTAGTACTGGTATCACAGTTATTTTTTCATCCCATGAAAGTCTTCTCCTTGTTGGATTTTGAGCGGCTGCAGGAACTTTTGTTCTTGTTTCCTCTGCAGTGTCCAGTTCTGTGCTTTGCTTAGTGCCTGTATGTGCTGAATAGTGACCGGGCAGCTGTGATCCAGTAGGATGGGCACTAGGTTAGGAATAAGAAAATGTCAGTCTGTCTGTGCTCCGACAGGCAGCATGAGAGTGAATAAGCCATCATCTCTCTGAACCTCAGTTGGGTCACATGTAAAATACGGATAATAATTCACATCTTATCTATAGAAGAGGATTAAACAGTGTATTTGTAAAGATTAAATATATCACTGTACACTAAAGTATTTCAGCAATGACTTTTGCATTTGGCTGTGATTGTACCACCCATGCATTATCATTTTTGTACTGGAGGCCTTCCCATTCTGAGGGGAGATGGATCCTCAAAAGCATTAGTGGGATAGAGGTGAGCTGATACTGGTCTCTTATTTGCTTGCAGCTGAAATCAGGCTAGGCCAAAGCCAGGAGGGCTTGTCTCCCCTTCTGATATTGTGTGACAGGTGACACTGTTGGTTTAAGAACAGACAGCCTTGAGCATAGAAAGCAAGAAATGTATGTTTATGAACCTGCTCCCCGACCTCCTTCCCCTAAATAAGAATTGATGCTGGGAACAGAGAAAAAGATAGAAAAGACTATCCTGTGATTAGACAGACAAACCCATCAAGCTAATCAAATCTCATCAAACGCAAAGTTCTAGGGCATGAGATTCCATGGAAGAGAGTTCCCAGGACCACCAAACTTTACCTAGAGCTTTTCCTAACTCTCTTCCAAGGAATCGCATGCCATGAGGCACATCACTGTGATGGGGAGGGTGTGGTTGAAAATGTCCACTTTGCTCAGTTCCTACTGAGCCAATTTCCAATGATAATGCGGTAGTCTGGTCCAGACCTTTTTTTGTTTGTTTGTTTTTTGAAGCAGAGTCTCACTCTGTCGCCCAGGCTCAAGGGCAGTGGTGTGATCTCAGCTCACTGCAACCTCTGCCTCCTAGGTTCAAGCAATTCTCTTGCCCCAGCCTCCCTCCCGAGTAGCTGGGATTACAGGCACCTGCCACCATGCCCGGCTAATTTTTTGTATTTTTAGTAGAGATGGGGTTTCACCATGTTGGCTGGTCTCGAACTCCTGACCTCAAGTGAACTGCTCTCCTCAGCCTCCTTACTGTGTCTTTATTTCCCTCCTACTGCGTGTTTCACTAGAGAGTCCTCAAGCCGTTGCTGATCCACCATCACCCAACCCACCACAAGTCAGGATATTTTCCCCCTGCTTACTTCATCTCCTTGGCAGCATTGTTAATAAGTGGTTACATTTAGTATCTGATAAAGAGAGGAGGACAAACTGTTCTTTAAAAGGGACTCAATAATATATTTTCACTGCAGTATTATAAGCAGCTCAAATAATACACGAGTACCCAGAGTAAGATTGGCAGGTCGTATTTCACATATCTCAATTCAGTCTCCCGTCTCCGAGCTGCCATCAGTTTGGGAAGACACCCTTCTAACAACATTTCTGTGCATTCCTGTACCTCTCTGCTAGTATCTAATGATGCATATTAATGAGAGTGTATTGGATGCTGATCTCTTTTGATTCTCCCATCAATCCACTTTTTAGACACTGCAGGTGTCTCTCCTTCGTTTCACAGAGGTCAATAACCTGGCCAACATGTCAGAGTTAGCCGGATTCCAAGTCTGTCTTATTTCCAAGCTTAAGAGCTTAAGTTCTAGGTACTTCTTTAGTTACTCTGATACTTCTTACCTAGCAGCTGATTTAGGAATGATGTAGGCTGATCACAAAATAATTGTTTTAAAAGACAGAAAAATTGGATGATGCCAGATAAGATCCAGAGAAAGCCATTTTGATTTTGGATTTTTAGTCCCATTAGGACTAACTTATATGGTGTGTTAGACTCAATCTTGGATAGAGAAGAAAGGAAATTTTGCATGGTAGGTTCTGATGTTGATGGTTGAGTTCAGGACTTACGGCATGGCCCATAGGTGAAAGAATAATTCAGACCTTCCAGCACTGGGAGTCTGCATTTAAATTCTATAAGGAAGTAAAAACATGTTAAAAGTTAAAGCCGAAACATGAACATAAACCATAAACATCAAAAGACAAAAGGCTTAGGGTTGGAAAGCTGACAAGCTGTGAGAAGGCAGAATGGGAATGGTTGGGGGCTGGGCTCTTGGAGCTCCTTGGGCCTTCACTGGGGGTCCCATCTACGCCCAATGCTTAATTTTAGTGGTAACAGAATTCCAGTAAGGATACAAGTCTGGTTTTAACTTGTGCCCACACCGTTAAAAACTATTGCTTGTCAGAAGAGAGAAGAGAGCTCAGGGTAAGGCCTTTCCCTTGGTGTTGGTGAAAACTACCCCTCCCCTATGGGAACTGTGGGTTTAACCCAGCTGCCTCATCAACATACATTTTACGGATTCCCAAATGGGGCACAGATGAGGTGGAGGTAGGAGATGTTTGCAGAGTGACAATGATGATTATGGCCATTTTATAACTTGTAGCAATCACAATTTATTTTATTCAAATAATAATGTAATTATTGGTTTAATTATGCCTTTAAATAAATTAAATATTTTTAGTTTTTCATTTTGTAAAGTTTATGTATTTATTTTTTGAGACAGGGTCTCATTCCCGTTGCCCAGGATGGAGTGCAGGGGCACGATCATGCCTCACTCCAGCCTCGACCTTCTGGACTCAAGCAATTCTCCCACCTCAGCCTCCCAAGTAACTGGGACCACAGTTACATTCCACCATACCTGGCTAATTTTTTGTATGTTTAGTAGAGATGAGGTTTCTCCATATTGCCCAGGCTGGTGTTGAACTTCTGGACTCAAGCGATCCGCCCACCTCGGCCTCCCAAAGTGTGGGATTACAGGTATGAGGCACTGTGCTGGGCCAGAAATTAAATTTATTTTACATTTGAAAGGTCTAGCCTAGGGTCCATCAGTCAGAGGTTTGGGGAAGAAATCTGGCTTTATTTTTTTCTTCCATTTTCACGTAGATAATTCTATTTAACATTAAGCATATTATGACTTTCATTATAATTTAATTTCCCCACAGCAGATACCTCCCTACTTAGCATGAATGTTTGAGGTTTCCAAACAATATGGCATCTTGATGGGTTATCCTGATAAGTTCTGAAGAACTCTCCTTACTCTAAGTCTTAGCTCTGTTCCTGAGAGCAGTAGCCTCATGGCCTTCAATCCTGGATGCATTTTAAAATCATCTGGACAGCTTGATTCACTGGTTTGGAGTAGAGACTGGGAGTAAGTATTTTTCAAATGCTCCCCAGAAGAGTATAATTGTAGCTAGAGCTAAGAAACAGATTGTTAGATAAGTAGAAATTCTTGAGCCGTATTATTAATATGCAGTGGTGTTTAAAGGAATATGGCAATGGCCTTTTTGTGATGCAAATAGCCTGTCTCCAGCATTCTAATTTTTTTATTTGGAAGTCTGAATATGTACACAGTAATGTATTGCTTAATGATGGGGGTATGTCTCAAGAAGTGCATTGTTAGGTGATTTCATGGTTGTGTGAACATCACAGAGTGTACTTACACAAATCTAGGTGGTACAGCCTGCTACATACCTAGGCTATATGGCATAGCCTGTTGTTCCTAGACTGCAAACCTATACAGCATGTTACATTACTGAATTCTGTAGGCAATTGGAACACAATGGCACATATTTGCATGTCTAAAAATCGAAAAGCTACAGTAAGAATATGTATTATAATCTTTCAAGGACCTCTGTTGGATATGCAGTCCATTGTTGATAGGAACGTTGTGATGTGCATGACTGTATCTAATATTGCATGCAAGTGTCTGTGTGAATAATACGTAATGAGACAACTGCACAGGCTTCATTACATAAGAAACTTCCTTTAGTCCACTTAGAAGATATCTGACCCCAGCACTGACAGTAAGTCTTCATTTATACCCACTAAGGGCCCTATAATCTTGCAAAAGTTATCACATAATATTTATTTATATTGACATTTAATACACAAGTGAGAAACATCTACAAATTCCATGAGTTTTCAGAAGTGTTATTTTCCTATCATAGTACTTTTGGTGGCATCTTTTTTTTTTTTAACTTTTTCTTATGGGCATTGTAAAAATGCATAGGAAAGTAGAGAAAATGGTATACTCAGTCCCCATTTTCTAAACATCCAGCTTCAACAGTGATCAACATTTTGCCCATCTGGTGTTTTGTCTTTTCTTCTTCCTTTACCTTCCCACAGAGACAAACGTAACTTTATAATTCTTTCACTTTCTTTGAAAAAATCTTAATAATTGTTTAATATTACACTGCAAACAACCCTCACTCATCTCTTGATTGAAGAGGCAGGCTGTAATTCCATCTCTGGTTTGCAAGGTTTCCTTCTAAACCTAAACCCTTAAGCTATGTTCTTGCAGACTGGGACATTAGCAAGATCTCTCGATTGAATTACAGAATTGCATTCCACCAAGGATTCAGTTTTGTAGAGTACTTAACATTGAACTACATGACGAGGCACAGGAGTAATGGGTCTTTTCAGTAATACCATCTTTTTTTTCCCTTCCGTAAATCAAAGGCAGTATTAAAAGACCTTCAGCTCTTCAGCATGAATGGAGTTAAAAGTATACAGGGGCTGGAAATAGCCCCCAAATGAAGGCAATTCTGTCATCTCCTGAAGGCTTATTCTTTTACCCATAGTTGTTAATATGAATAATTGAAGAATCTGAGAGCTTTTCTGTGATTTGAAACTTTTTGGGTGTATAGATTCCATAGTTTCCATTGCCCTGGAAGCTGAAACAGAAGAAATTACCTGACTTGTTTCTGCTTTCTGCCGGTGACCCATTTTGGGGCTCTGATGCAATCCCCAGGCAGCGGGGTGCTTTGCCTTCCAACTTTGAGGCTGAGAGTTTAGAGGTCACTACTGGCTCTGAGACAGCCTGGACTTTCTTCTGGGTTTGACTCTGGCAATACAATAAAGAGACCACTGTAGAGAATTTCCCATCCTCAGGAAGGTCCAAGTACAACACTCTTGAACCTGAGCAAACTTGTTCTCCATCTGGGAGCTCAAACCAGGAGGCTGTGTATACTTCTCACTCAGATTCAGTTAACCTCAAGATTTTGCCACAGTAGTTCTGAGCCTTCGAGTCTCAGCCCTCTTTTGTCTTCTGTGACTTCGAGGAGAATATGAATTTTCTGGATGATTTTGCAAAACAATACTTAATTTTATTTTTTAAAAATGTTGTCTGCAAATGTGGAAGCAAAGAGGAATTAGGAAAAGAGAGAAAGCTGTAAAAATTTGGGAACCCAAATTCCACCAATTTTGGGGGGACAGGTAATGGAACTGTTTTATATCCCAATTTTGGTGGTGGTTACACAAATCTATCTGTGTATTAAAATTCATAGACCTGTGTACCCAAAGAGAACAAAGAGAATTTTACTGTTACGATAATTTTTAAAAGAAAATAAATTGTTAATCAGGGGGAAAATAAAACACCCAATCCTGCTCATGTTTGGAAGTAAAGAAAATTCCTGAAAGGGAAATAGTACCTTGGGATTATCAATTATTTCAAAAGTTGTTTAAATTTTTGTTGAAGATTTTTTATTTTTACTTATTGTGTAGATGATATTGTACTGACTGAAATTTTAGAAGTCACCAAGAATCATGTATCCACAGTAAATCATTTGTTTACATTTATTTTTTATTATTTTATTTTATTACAGACAGGGTCTTGCTTTGTTGCCTAGGCTGGAGTGCAGTGGTGTGATCATAGCTCCCTGCAGCCTGGACCCCCTGGGCTCAGGTGATCCGCTCTCTCTCTCTTTCTTTTTTGTAGAGATTAGGTCTTGCTATGTTATTCAGGCTGGTCTCGAACTCCTGGCCTCAGGTAATCCTCCCGTCTTGGTTTCCCAAAATGCTGGGATTAAAAGCGTGAGCCACTGTGCCCTTAATGTTTGCATTAAAAAAAAAATCCTGTAGGCTTCAGTGAAGTTTCTGCTTCTCTTTCACTTTACTGGACAAAGGCCAGCCTGAGTCAGAGCTTCAGGGAGAGAAGGAGAGGGCCTCCTTGTTCCCAGTGTGGGCTGAGAATCATCCACTCCGCTCCAGACCTGTGGAATCAGAAGCTGCCTTAGGTGATTCACTACATGTTAAAGTTTGCAAGTGGGTCGTTGGGGATTTCTGGTTGCCATGCCGATTGCTGCAGAGGACTGAAGTCAGTCCTTTCTCCTCGGAGGGTGGCCACAGAACATACACCTCTGCTGTTCCCCACAGTTGAGTGTGAGGTTACTTTCCTGTCTCTATCTGTCAGGGTCCCTTCCAGCGAAATGAGATCAGTATATCAGAGTTGCCCATGGAAACTTCGCTTAACTCCATTTTTAATATTACAGGCAGTATTTGAGGATTATTTTCCCCTGCCATCCTAAAACATCTGCCTTTTCTCTTAAATTTAAGATGTAAATCGTCTTCTAGCCAGTTGAGGGGAGCAGTTGAAGTGCATGGGTAAAAACAGAATCTGGGAGAAATGTGGGTATTTCATTGGAAGTTATGGAAGGCTCTAGTTAGCCAAGATGGGTGCCTGGGGCAGAAAGAGTTCTTGTTGTCTTGCGTTGCTTGGTGAAAACAGAATGTTCCATGCAGAGTTGCTGTGTTCACGCACACTGCTTTGGGTAGGTCTATCTGGTCCTGGAGGCAGAGGCAGATCTGTCAGGAACACTTTGTCCTGGGCATGCTTTCTGACTGCTTATGTCCAAATGCAATGTGAGCCCCAAATGTTGGTGCAGAGAAGACTCCATGGCTTGCTGTCACCAGATGAGCCTCTAGTATGCGAGCTACGAGACCAGCTGGTGTTTCCCTGTGGGTGACATGACTGGGTCCACATACCTTTAACTTTATGCAGAAAAAAAATCCCAGTAAACTGGCCATCAGAGAAATGCAAATCAAAACCACTATGAGATATCATCTCACACCAGTTAGAATGGCAATCATTAAAAAGTCAGGAAACAACAGGTGCTGGAGAGGATGTGGAGAAATAGGAACACTTTTACACTGTTGGTGGGACTGTAAACTAGTTCAACCATTGTGGAAGTCAGTGTGGCGATTCCTCAGGGATCTAGAACTAGAAATACCATTTGACCCAGCCATCCCATTACTGGGTATATACCCAAATGACTATAAATCATGCTGCTATAAAGACACATGCACACGTATGTTTATTGCGGCATTATTCACAATAGCAAAGACTTGGAACCAACCCAAATGTCCAACAACGATAGACTGGATTAAGAAAATGTGGCACATATACACCATGGAATACTATGCAGCCATAAAAAATGATGAGTTCATGTCCTTTGTAGGGACATGGATGAAATTGGAAATCATCATTCTCAGTAAACTATCGCAAGAACAAAAAACCAAACACCGCATATTCTCACTCATAGGTGGGAATTGAACAATGAGATCACATGGACACAGGAAGGGGAATATCACACTCTGGGGACTGTGGTGGGGTGGGGGGAGGGGGGAGGGATAGCATTGGGAGATATACCTAATGCTAGATGACGAGTTAGTGGGTGCAGCGCACCAGCATGGCACATGTATACATATGTAACTAACCTGCACAATGTGCACATGTACCCTAAAACTTAAAGTATAATAATAAAAAAAAAAGCATGAGTTAGCACTCACTGAGATACTTCTATCATATATTTTTTCTTTTTAATTAATATTTCATGACCAGTTAACCAGCAGTCTGTTATCCTTCTAATAAAGAAAAAGGTATTATAACCAATAAAATATATTTATTGCCCTCATTTTAAAGTCTTGATTAAGGACCCATCCCTCCCTTGTGAAAGTCTTTTTTAAAACATCATCAGAAGTACACAATCAATGGGGAAAGAAGCCCTTGTTTGTTTAAAGAAGAAACATATTCCCCAACAGAAGATATAAAAACATAAGTCTGCAAATAAAACATGTGGGTCTGTTTACTTAGTAGAGATTTTGTATCTGGCTAGTGTAAGTATAGTCATTCTCAATTTTGAGGGATTCAGGAATTTTTGCTTTTGTAAACTCAATATATGAGATATAATGCAACTCGAACATAAGAAAATAACTCGTTTTCATTCGCATTATGAGAAAAGGGATGTAGTGCCTATAGGACCATCTTACATGAACACAACATACATTTCTCTTTTTTTTTGAGACAGAGTCTCGTTGTTGCCTGGGCTGGAGTGCAGTGGCAGGATCTCCGCTCACTGCAAGCTCCGCCTCCCAGGTTCATGCCATTCTCCTGCCTCAGCCTCCCGAGTAGCTGGGACTATAGGCGCCCGCCACCACATCCGACTAATTTTTTGTATTTTTAGTAGAGACGGAGTTTCACCGAACACAACATACATTTCTCAAGTTATGGCTATCAATCATTCTGGAAGCTTGCATTGTGGGTTCCAGCAGTTGGAATCTGTTAAACAGATCTATACTACTGAAAATTCTGTGCAAGACAGCTAGAGAAAGAGCTTAATGAATTCATTCTGAGGTGGCTAGATATCAATTAGCCAGAGTAAGTGAAGAAATTGTAAAGCAAAAGGTGTGTGTAGAGCTCTTCCTTTGTGTGGTGAGAGCTCTTGGTTTTACTCATCAGAGGAGATGCAGAAGACTCCAAGCTGTCTGCACACTGCTGCCATCACTCGAGGGGGTCATTGCTTTAGGAATTTTTCCTAGCTTTTCCTACTTTGATGAATTACTTTGAAATACTTTACTATGCTTCACAATATAAGATTCAAATATAAAAATAAAATCATACAGTTTTAAAAGTAAAATAGAACCTTAGAAAGATTCCACTTTATTTAATTTTTCACTTGAGAGAAAGAAGGTATAAAGAGTTTAAATAATGTGCCTGAGGCAACACAGCTAGCTGGTGGCAAAACTGGGACTAGAATTCACCTCATTCTGCCTTGTGATTTTAGAACTGAAAGAAGCTAATTTCTCATTTGTGCAGCCCATTTCATCAATGGACATTAAAAGTTCTGTTTAAAGTGCTAGTTAATTTACCGATTGCCAGGACTTAGTCAACTGAGGTAAATCCAAAATGTGTTTGATATACTTCAGTAAGCAAAAAGGGTACTTTTTTCAGTAAACTGGAGTTAAAGACGTATTTACTTTTAGGCGGAAAGACTATTTGTAAGGCATTATGACAATTGCTGAATCTAAATCAGTATAAACATAGAATTCCGTTAAAAGTATTTTAAAAATTGGGTTGATTCTGGTTAGTTTGCCAATGAAGTCATTGAATAAATGTTGCAAAAAGCTAGAGAAATCTGTGCAATGTTCAGAATTTGACCTAGATTGCATATGGGTTTTAAAAAATGCCACCACATTCATTATTGTGAGTAATTACTTATAAATATATAACAATACACTTTGCAAATATGAAATGCTCGTGTAGAGTATTAAATGCCGGTAATCCTTAAGTATTCTGAAAAGTAAAATTATTTCCCCAGTTGTTTCTGCTTTCATGTAAAGAGTAATCAATGAGCTTGTTTTTATTAGCATTTCTGTTGGTGTGTTTACGTCTTGATGGCTCAAAGCTTAAAGAAAAAGCAAAGCAATATAAATTCTACTGATAGTAATAAAAATATTAAAGCTGAGAAAGAACCACTTGTAGCTTCATATCTTCATGTGGCTAAGTTGGTTTTGGTGAATTTTCTGTGTAAAAAGCAACCAATAAACTAAACCCAACATCTCCCAACGGCATTTTCTTTTTCTGTGGTTGAATGGTGGAAAGAAGGCAGTAGTGTGCCACCTGGTGGTTCAACATGGATTGACATAGTAGAGTTTCCCCAACCCTGTATTAACCGAATTTAAAACATAACCATTATTTCCTCAGCTACCAATTCTTTCCTCCTTGGAGATATTTATTTTTCTTATTCTAAAGAATACTCATCAGGTACCATTATTCTGTTTGGAGATTGGAAATACGTTAAAATTAAAACAATCACCTCTAATATGCTTCTCACAGCTTGTCTATCCACAGACATTTGCCATTTGTGTTATACCTATGATATTTAATTACATTCAGATACAACTAAGGACTAGAAATAAAAATAATGCCATCCCAGGGTGGGCATGGTGGTGCACACCTGTAATCCCAGCACTTTGGGAGGCTAAGGAGGGCAGACCATTTGAGCCCTGGAGTTTGAGACCAGCCTGGGCAATATAGTGACACCCCATGTCTGCAAAAAATACAAAAATTAGCTGAGCATGATGGTGCATGGCTGTGGTCCCAGCTACTCTGGAGGCTGAGGTGGGAGGATTGCTTGAGCCCAGGAGGTTGAGGTTGCAGTGAGCCTTGATCGCACCACTGCACTCCAGCCTGGGCGACAGAGAGAGGCCCTGTCTTACACACAGAGACAAAAGATTGAGAAGGAAGGACTTATTACAATATAATATGACATTATGCCCTTGATATGACATGTTACTGATGTCAGTGTGCTAGAAATGGAGATACATTAACAAGATATCGCCTCTTTGAGTGAAGATGAAGTGATCTTGAATAAAGAACACCAAAGTTTCAAACCAGAAATGCATACTTTGTTTTATATGCCTACACAAAAGAAAATCTTTATCCACAATTTATATTTTTTAAAAATCAGATGAATGCATTTTACTCTTTTTCTAACAGTGTCTGTTTTTTCATTTTCTACTTGAATGGAATGCAAATTTATACTATAACTTCTAAGATTATAACCTTTTTAAAAGCCTTCATAACCTCAAGAATCCCAGCAGGCCAGGTTAAATAACAGCATGACTGCTTTCAGCCAAAGGCCTATGCAAAGCTAGAGCAAAAAAAAAAAAAAAAAAAAAAAAAATTTCTTCAAAATATATCTGTTTCAGACAGAAGAAAATTAGGATTTGACAGGAGTAGAAAAAAGTATGATTTCAAGTTTAATTCTGCAAGGTGAACTTCAGAACACTACCTCATTGATTGGGCTGATTTAGCAGCACTGTCTAAAATTCTTCTGGCTCTGATTTTAAAGGCAATCTTTGCACTAGGACAAAAGATCAAAAGTTAACATCTGGATTGGTGATAGTAAATTACCATTTCTGGTTTTTTTTCTTCAGTGATATTAATTACAATACCCCTCACCCAGTGAAACTTCAGCAAGGATTTTAGATAAATAAGGCACAATCTGAGGTAGAATGAGAATCTTGAAACCCTATCCTAAGCTCAAGGATAGTACAAAAATAGATTTTTGGGCTAGAGTTGTAAGATGGATCTGCCATACACATGTAACAGACATACCATAGTCTAGAATGCAAAAGCTTATCTAGACTTGAGAAAGGCAGGGTTAACTGTGGAGAGTAACATTTTGTGGTCACTGTTGAATGTACTCTTTCAAATAGGTAAAGTGCATACTGATTAGGCTGAGCATCTGATTAAACATCAAATTGTAGAAATCAGTGTTTATTTGAAAAGTGAACTGAGCATTCACATAGATGAAGTAATTTCTGGTATCTTAATAGACAGCCTCTGAACTACAGAATCCCATCAATTCTGTAGTTGGGATGGCATTATTGTTATTATTATTTTGAGACAAGTTCTCGCTCTGTCACCCAGGCTGGAGTACAGTGGCATGATCATGGCTCACTGCAGCCTCAACCTCCTGGGCTCAAGTGATCCTCCTGCCTCAGCCTCCCAGGTAGCTGTGACTATAGGTGCACACCACCATGCCTTTTAATTTTTTTGTAGAGATGGGATGTCACTATGTCACCTAGGCTGGTCTCGAATTCCTGGACTCAAGCGATCTTCCCACCTCTACCTCCCAAAGTGCTGGGATTACAGGCTTGAGCCACTGTGCCCAGCCCCAGTCATTTTTATACAAAGCCAGATGTCTGAATATTCTAGTGAGCGGCATCTACAGTTCTTGGTGCAAACTTTGAAGCAAATGTTATAGCTCCATCAGGCATATGCAAATCACTGTCCAAAGTCTTATTGATGAGAGAAACCAGCTTCATTGGGTTATAATCAAATCATAGCTCACTGCAGCCTCAAACTCTTGGGGTCAAGGATCCTCCTGCCTCAGTCTCCCGAGTAGCTGGGGCTACAGGCATGTGCTACCACTCCCAGCTTATTAAAATATTGTAAAGGTGGAATCTTGCTATATTGTTCAGGCTGGTCTTGAACTCCTGGCCTAAAGTGATCCTCTTGCCTCAGCCTCCCAAAATGCTTGTATTACAGGTGCAAGCCACAGTGCCTGGCCAGTCCTGCATCTTTTAGACTATTTAGAAAATAGCAGGAGGCTGCATGGTGGAGAGGAAAGAGCATTTAACTTAGAGTCTCTTCTGTGAGTAGAAATGCTTTTAGACTTTGATGTCAAAGAGGTTTATTTCTTGCTGGATTTCTTATATATTAAGCGAATTCTGCAACTATCTGTAAGATAATTGAGCAATCATTAGATCTATCTGGCTTTATATGGAGCCCTCATAATTTGGGGCATAAACTAATTAAAGAGTAATTACAACTAACCGATTCTGTGGTCCACTTTCAGTTCAAACTTTAAGTAGGAAGTGAGTCTTTTTAACAGAGGGGCTTTCGCATGCTCCTCACATTGCCAATGCGCCTAACCGAGCTGATGGGGTCAGAGAGAACAAGACCACTCAAATGGACACAGGTATAGGACGAGGGCTCAGAAGGAAGGAGGCTGCCGTCCCAGAGTCACCTTTCTTAGTGAGGAGGGCTGGCAGCCAGCGTATTGGAGGGAATCAAACTTCTCCATGGAAATCAAGTCCTGACGGTAAGCTCAGTGAGAGCAGTGTCCAAGAACGATTCTGGAAAACAGCAAAAGACCAAAGACGTCAAACCAGCTTCGTTTTGAAATATTTTTCATCGAAACAGATTCAGAGTTATTACGTGAGCCTGAGCGAGGGGGAAACAGTGATGGTTGTCAGAATCCCAGGACTGGACTACTGTACTCAAGAGTATGTTATAAGCCATATCTAGTTCCCATTGCCATTTACGTTGGTGCAAAAGTAATTGCAGTTTTTGCCATTAAAAGTGATGTATTGGCCAGGCCCGGTGGTCACGACTGTAATCCCAGCACTTTGAGAGGCTGAGGCGGCTAGATCACTTGAGGTCAGGAGTTTGAGACCAGCCTGACCAACGTGGTGAAATCTCGTCTCTACTAAAAATACAAAAATTAGCCAGGTATGGTGGTGGGCACCTGTAATCCCAGCTACTTGGGAGGCTGAGGGAGGAGAATTGCTTGAACCTGGGAGGTGGAGGTTGCAGTGAGCCGAGATCCTGCCATTGCACTCCAGCCTGGGTGACAGAGGGAAACTCCATCTCAATAATAATAATAATAATAATAATAATAATAATAATAATAATAATAAAGTAATTTGTTGTGGGTTGAATCCTGTCTTCCCCCACAATTCGTACATTGAAGTCTTAACTCCCAGTAATTCAAAATGGAATTTTGTGTGCAGATAGGATCGTTAAATATGTAATTAGTTAAAATGAGGTCATTGGGTGAGCCCTAACCCAGTACGACTGGTGTCCTTATAAAAAGGAGAAATTTGGACACAGAAACCTGCCCACAGAGAAAATGCCCATGAATAAGAAGGTAGAGATTGGGGTGATGGGTCCACAAGCCAAGGAGTGCCAATGATTGCTAGCAGTCACCAGAAGCTTGGCAGAGGCATGGAACAAATGCTCTCTCAGAAGGAATAGGACTTCCTCAGACTTCCAGCCTCCAGAACTGTAAGATGATACATTTCTGTCCTTTAACCATCCCTATTTGTGGTACTTTGTATGGGAGCCCTAGAAAACTGATATAATGTCATAGTTCAGCAGTTCTCAATATTTCTTGTTATCATCTTCATAAGGGCTTGAGTTAGGATTGTCAGATCATGTACAGGATGCTCAGTTGAACTTGAATTTCAGATAAAAATCAAACATTCCTTTTAGTGTCAGTATGTCCCGAGTATTGCATGGAACATACTAGTACTAAAAAGTTATTCATTGTTTATTTGAAATTCAAATTTAGCTGGATAGTCTGTGTTTTTATTTGCTAAGTCTGATAATCCTATCTGGAGTGCCTTTGTCATAGTTATGGCAATGAGGAAATGAGTCAATTACCTGGACTCAGTGGATTCTTCTTGGTGCCTACTAGAGTCAGCAAAAACAGAAAAGTGGAAATGCTTTTAGACTTCTGTCTCAGTGATGTTTATTTCTAACTATATAGTTGGCCATGTGTATCCTCGGTGTGGTGGTAATACTGAGTGTCAACTTGATTGGACTGAAGGATGCAAAGTATTGATCCTGGGTGTGTCTGTGAGTGTGTTGCCAAAGGAGATTAACATTTGAGTCAGTTGGCCGGGGAAGGCAGACCCACCCTTAATCTGGATGAGCACACTCTAATCAGCTGCCAGTGAATATAAAGCAGGCAGAAAAACGTGAAAAGGTGAGACTGGCCTAGCCTCCAAGCCTACATCTTTCTCCCATGCTGGATGCTTCCCTAGCCTCCAAGTCTACATCTTTCTCCCATGCTGGATGCTTCCTGCCTTCAAACATTGGATTCCAAATTCTCCAGTTTTGAGACTTGGCCTGGCTCTTCCCATGCTGGATGCTTCCTGCCCTCAAACATTGGATTCCAAATTCTCCAATTTTGAGACTTGAACTGGCTCTCCTTGATCCTCAGCTTGCAGACAGCCTATTGTGGGACCTTGTGATCCTGTAAGTTAATATTTAATTAACTCCCATATCTATGTCTGTGTCTATATGTATCTATCTATATCTTATTAGTTCTGTCCTTCTAGGGAACCCTGACTAATACACTCGGGTTCCAAATTTTTGGATTCAATCAACCTCGGATTGACAATATATGACAAAAACATAATAAAAAAATTAAAAAATCAATATAGTATAGCAACAATTTACATAGCTTTGAAGTACAGTATGTGTTGATTAATGATGAGATACATTTTGAGAAATGATGAATCACTGGGCAATTTCATCCTTGTGCGAATGAACACCGTGGAGTGCAGTTGCACAGACCCAGATGGTGGAGCCTGCCGCACACCTAGGCTGTGTGGTAGAAACCTTTGCTCCCAGGTCACAAAACTGCACAGGCTGGTACTGTACTGAATACTGTAGGCAATTGTGACACAATGGTAAGTGTGTGTGTGTGTGTGTGTGTGTGTGTGTGTGTGTGTTTGTGATGGAGTCTTGCTCTGTTGCCCAGGCTGGAATGCAGTGGCACAATCTCGGCTCACTGCAACCTCTGCCTTTCAGGTTTTAGTGATTCTCCTGTCTCAGACTCCCGAGTAGCTGGGACTACAGGCGCATGTCACCACACCCGGCTAATTTTTTTAAAAAATTTTTAGTAGAGACGGTGTTTCACCATGTTAGCCAAGATGGTCTCGATCTCCTGACCTTGTGATCCACCCACCTCAGCCTCCCATTGCTGGGATTACAGGCGTGAGCCACCGTACCTGGCCTGTAGTGGTGTACAGTGGTGTACAGGTGTACCATTGTTGAATGAATGGTGCTCACAGGACTGGAGGCTGCTCTGGGTGAGTCAGTGAGTGATTTGGCAGTGAAAGTGATGGCTCAGGAAGTTACTGTACCCTACTGTCAACTTTGTAAACACTGTACACTTAGGCTATACTACATTTATTAAAATTGTTTTTTCTTTCTCCGATAATAAACAGCCTATGGTAGCTTTTTAACTTCATAAACTTTAATTTAAAAAAATTTTGACTCTTATGTAATAAAACTTAGCTTAAAACACAAACTCATTATACAGCTATACAGGAATCTTTTTGTTTCTTCTTTTTTTTGAGATGGAGTTTTGCTCTTATTGTCGAGGCTGTAGTGCAATGGCATGATCTTGGCTCACTGCAACCTCTACCTCCTGGGTTCAAGCAATTCTCCTGCCTCAGCTTCCCGAGTATCTGGGATTACAGGCACCCACCACCATGCCTGGCTAATTTTTTGTGTTTTTAATACAGATGGGGTTTCACCATGTTGGTCAGGCTGGTCTTGAACTCCTGACCTCAGGTGATCCACCGGCCTCAGCCTCCCAAAGTGCTGGGATTACAGGTGTGAGCCACCGTGCCCAACCTTCTTTCTTTATATTCGTATTCTATAAGCTTTTTTCTATTTTTAAAATTTTAATTTTTTTCCTTTTTAAAATGTTGTTAAAAACTAAGACCCAAACAGTCACATTAGCCTAGGCCTACACAGGGTCAGGATCATCAATATCATTGGCCTCCATGTCCACATCTTGTCCCACTGGCCGGTCTTCAGGCATAACGGCACACATGGGGCTGTCATCTCCTATGGTAAAAATGCCTTCTTCTGGAATCCCTCTGAAGGATCTGCCTGAGACCGGTCTACTGTCTACTGTTAACTTTTTTCCTTTTTTTTTTTTTTTTTTTGAGATGAAATCTTGCTCTGTCACCCAGAGTGGAGTGCAGTGACGCCATCTTGGTTCACTGCAACGTCCACCTTCTGGGTTCAAGTGATTCTCGTGCCTCAACTTCCTGAGTAGCTGGGATTACAGGTGTGCGCCATCACGCCTGGCTCATTTTTGTTTTTTTAATAGAGACGAGGTTCCACCATGTTGGTCTTGAACTCCTGACCTCAGGTAATCTGCCCGCCTCAGCCTCCCAAAGTGCTGGGATTATACACATGAGCCACCGTGCCCGGCCAACTTTTTTCTTTTTTTATAAGTAGAAGCAATGCACTCCAAGATGATGATACAAAGTATAGTAAATACATAAACCAGTAACACAGTCGTTTATTATTGTCGTCAAGCATTATGGATTATACATAATTGCATGTGCTCTACTTTTCTTTTCTTTTCTTTTCTTTTTTTTTTTGAGACGGAGTCTTGCTCTGTCGCCCAGGCTGGAGTGCAGTGGCGCCGTCTCAGCTCACTGCAAGCTCTGCCTCCCGGGTTCACGCCATTCTCCTGCCTCAGCCTCCCGAGTAGCTGGGACTACAGGCGGCCACCACCACGCCCAGCCAATTTTTCGTATTTTTAGTAGAGACGGGGTTTCACCTTGTTCATGTGCTCTACTTTTCATGTGCTGACTGGCAGCACAGTGGGTTCGTGTACTCCAGCATCACCACAAACATGTAAGGCACGTGCTGGACCACCAGGTCAGGCCCAGGTTAGGATGGCTAAGACATCACTGGGCAATAGGAATGTTTCAGCTCCATTATAATCTTCTAGGGCCACTGCTGTTGATGCAGTCTGCTGTTGACCAAAACATCATTATGCGGTGCGTAACTGTACGCAGGAGGGTGTGCAAATATGCAAATAATATGTCACTTTATATAAGGGACTTGAGCATCCTTGGAATTTGGTATCCTTGGGAGTTTGGGAGATCCTGGAACCAATACCCCCTGTGTTGTTGAACCATACCGAGGGATGACTGTATTTGCTACATGTTAAGCTGATTCTGCAACTAACTGGCTGTAGGACATTGTGCAAATCACCTGACATGTCTGGGCCTCAGTGTTCTCATTTGTTAAATGAGGGAGCAGAACTATCTGCTTTCAAAGGTCTCTTCCAGCCGTTTATGTCTGTCATTCAAGGAAATGCTTCTTAAAGGAACATTTTAAAAAGCCTAGCTTATGAAAGCATTAGGAAGCACTTAGCTATTTTTATAGTTTGGATCAAAATTATAAGCTGTCGCTTCTTGGAAAGCTTTATTACCTCCACTTCTTAACAAAGGCTGAAGTTTAATATCATTATGTGCCCCATAATGAGGAGGCCCTAATTCAGGAGGGCGTTCATGATGATGATCACTTAAAAAGATCACTGATTTGAGAAATGGTTCAAGTCTTAATGGGCGCTGAGAATGAAGGCTGAGCGATTACTTCTTTCCTGGGCTGGTAGTGTTGATGTTTGCTCTGCTAATTGTACTTAATTTACTGTGAAGTTTTTTTTTTTTTTTTTTTTGAGACGGAGTCTCGCTCTGTCGCCCAGGCCGGACTGCGGACTGCAGTGGCGCAATCTCGGCTCACTGCAAGCTCCGCCTCCCGGGTTCACGCCATTCTCCTGCCTCAGCCTCCCGAGTAGCTGGGACTACAGGCGCCCGCCACCGCGCCCGGCTAATTTTTTGTATTTTTAGTAGAGACGGGGTTTCGCCTTGTTAGCCAGGATGGTCTCGATCTCCTGACCTCATGATCCACCCGCCTCGGCCTCCCAAAGTGCTGGGATTACAGGCGTGAGCCACCGCGCCCGGCCTACTGTGAAGTTTTTTAAGAGACTTCTGTTGCTCTGAGTGATGGTGCTACTGGGTGAGGCACTGAACTTGGAGACTATTAGTCCAAGCTACGTGAGACTTAATAGTAAAGACTCCTGAATTTCTTTTTAAGTAATTTTATTTTGAGTAAATGTATTTTATTTTTTGAAAGTCCATTTAATTTTTAATTTACAAAGTCATTCATGACTGAGTCAATTTAAACAACTCAGGAAAAACCTCAAACCCCAACGAAATTCCACTAGCTAACTGGATATATTTTAGTAAATTTATTTTAAAGTAATTTACTATGTTAAAGAAAGTGTGCTGGAGTTAGCTGAGGACTTGTGTGTCTTTTCTTTCCTTTTTTTTTTTGATATTGAGTCTCGCTCTGTCGCTCAGGCTGGAGTGCAGTGGCGCAATCTCGGCTCACTGCAGCCTCTGCCTCCCGGGTTCCAGCAATTCTCTTGCCTCAGCCTCCTGGGTAGCTGGGATTACAGGCAGATGCCACCATGCTCGGCTAATTTTTCTATTTTTAGTAGAGACAGGGTTTCACCATGTTGGCCAGGCTGGTTTCAAACTCCTGATCTCAGGTGATCTGCCTGCCTTGGCCTCTCAAAGTGCTGGGATTACAGGCGTGAGGCACCACGCCTGGCTGACTTTTGTATCTCTTCTTCACATTACTTCTTAGACACAGAAATAATTTTGTCCATCTGTTTGTGAAAAATTTGTGAAAAATCAGGAGTTGGTAATATCACCAATGGTTCTTAAAAATGAGACCAGGCTAGGGGTGGTGGCTCATATCTGTAAGCACTTTGGGAGGCCAAGGTGGGTGAATAGCTTGAGCCTGGGAGGTCAAGGCTGCAGTAAGCCGAGGTCACGCCCCTGCACCCCAGCCTAGGTGACACTGGGGGACAAAGCCAGACCCTGTTTTTTGCTTCTATTTTTGTTTTTTTTTAAAAAAGAGACCAGATAGGTATTCCTTAAAAATGGTTCTAGAGGAGCCAGTCGGCAGTTGGGATAGTGGAAATGGGAATGTCAAGAACTGAAGAGAAATGAAAGAAAATAACCTGTTGAAAAAGCTGGCCAGCCATGGTTGCTCACCCCTGAAATCCCAGCACTTTTGGAGGTCGAGGTGGGTGGGTTGCTTGAGCTCAGTAGTTTGAGACCAGCCTGCGCAACATGCGACACCCCATCTCTACAAAAGGATACAAAAATTAGCCGGGCATGGTGGCACACACCTCTAGTCCCAGCTATTCAGGAGGCTGAGGTGGGAGGATCGCTTGAGCCCATGAGGTCGAGGCTGCAGTGAGCTGAGACTGCCCTTCCCTGCAATTTCCTTCCTCCAACTGGGTCAGGACGTCTGAAGCCACATGAGGTGACAAGTCAGCAGGATGAAAGGCAAGAAAGATAAAAGTCAGTGTCTTTCACTTTACTGACCCACAAATTACTCTGCACCTCCAACTTCTGGGCATTTTGTTTTATCAGGTCCTCGTTGGTGTTTGATTTGGGGCTGCAACATAAGAGGAACTATGTATTTCCCCCAGTTAATCCCGTTTTTGAAGTAGGAAGGGGCTGACTTATATACAAAGAGAAATTGACATTAACTGGGAAATATATCACCCCTGGAAACAAACCATTACCTGGTGATCTATTTTTCCTTGATTTAAATTGTTTCTTAATTGGAATTGTTACCCGCTTGACTTGGACAGTTTTGTTTTCTATTTATTTTCCACCCACCACACAGGGGTATTTGAATAATCTTGCACGGTAAGCTATCAAATGTAATTTAAAATAAGAGGAGTCATTATTCATTATACATTGTGTTCACATTCGCAATAGCTTTCTTTACCTTGTTAGACCTCAACCACCTTCAGTTCACGAAGGAAAGCTAAGCCACAAATCAGTAGTCTCGCGATTTAAGTTGTACTTTTGCTCCAAAGATGATATGAGAGTTGAAAAACAAGACCATTTATTTACCTGGACCTGGGAAAGTAATTCTCATCTGAAAACCAGGTGTCTCTGGTTCTTCCACTAAGATTGATTGCTTTGAGTGTCAGCCAGCCCAGGCTGAGCATTCCTGAGTAATTAGGATTCACTTCATTGGCAGGCGAGTGCTGACCTCACCTTGCAAAGCTCTCTGAAGTGTCTGAGCAGAGGGTCCACTCCTCCCCGGCATACCTTTGCAGCAATATCCTGGCAGATACTTTATGTCATGTTGCCATGAACTGCATTGTTCTGCCCCAAGCCCCAGGCTACTGGAAAAAATGGTAAGTGTTCCAAGTTTAAGCTAAATAATATGTTTTTAATGAGATCATGTGCGTTGCGGATCAAAAGCATCACCAAAAGGTAAAAAGTTCAAAAAGCCCTTTACATGCACAGTGAGTTTGACCAAAGTGGCTTTCATGATCTTTCTGATAGAATTTTAAAAAGCACTTTCAAGTTTCTGATCCTAAATGTTACACTTCAGCAGGTTTTCTCCTTGCCTTTCATCACACAGAGACAGGAGCGATTCGGTGGTAGGGTACATCTATTAGCAGGACAATAACAATGCTTTGCAATCTGTGTGCTGCTGAACATAACAGGGTCTAGGAGCACTGGGGAGTGTTGTTGCAGTGGTCTGGCAATCTGATAGAATATTATCCCTTCAAAACACTGGGGAAAACCCACTAAAGCAAGCCCTGGCTTAGGAGAATTGGAGTTCTGCTCAAACCACATCTACTTCATGAGACTTTCCTAGAAATCTCCTCCATTAGAATTAACAGGAGGAAGGGAGAAATAAATCAGCATTTGCTGAGTTTCTATGAAATAATAAATACAGGCTGGGCCCAGTGGTTTGCGCCCGGAATCCCAGCATTTTGGGAGGCTGAGGCAGGAGGATTGCTTGAGGCCATGGGTTCAAGGCCAGCCTGGGCAACATAGTTAGATCCTTGACTCTATTAAAAAAAATAGCCAGGCATGGTGGTGTGTGGCTACAGTACTAGCTACTTGGGAAGCTGTGGCAGGTGCATCACTTGAGCCCAAGAGTTTGAGGTTGCAGTGAGCGCTGACCACGGCACTGCACACTCCTGCCTGAGTGACAGAGCACGACCTTGTCTCAAAAAAAAAAAAAAAAAAATCACATGTTGGGGTCTTTAGATGTATTATTTCATTTAAACTTCAAATATCCTTAGGAGGTGGCGACTGTTAACAAGCTGTTATTCCTGGCCAGGTGCGGTGGCTCAAGCCTGTAATCCCAACACTTTGGGAGGCCGAGGCAGGTGGATCACCTGAGGTCAGGAGTTCAAGCCCAACCTGGCCAACATGGTGAAACCCGCCTCTACTAAAAATACAAAAATTAGCCAGGCATGGTGGCATGCGCCTGCAATCCCAGCTACTTGGGAGTTTGAGACAGGAGAATTGCCTGAACCTGGGAGGTGGAGGTTGCAGTGAGCTGAGATCACGCCATTGCGCTCCAGTCTGGGTGACAGAGCAAGACCCTGTCTCACAAAAAAAAAAACAAAAAAACAAAAAAAACAAACTTCTTCCATTGAACATTATTTTAACCATGAATATAGAATTTCTTCAAATCATCCTTGTATAAAATTAACTTTTAAAAATAGCCTTAACTTTTAGGCTCTGTGAGGTGAGAGAGCAGAGGCCATGCACTTACTACTACCATTCATGGGCCCACTGAATGTTGGCTTCAGTGTCAGATTCTCTTATATGTATGTCATCTCCTTTAATATTTAAAAATCTCTGGAGTTTGATATTGTTTTGCTCATATCATAGATGAAGAAATTGTCTGAGAGATTGAGTAACTTGCTTAAAATCACCCAGTCAGTAAGTGGCAATGCTGAAATTTGAACTCAGTTCTGCGAGTGTAAAGCCCACATTTCTCTAGTAATATCTAGTATTTCTCTAGAAATAACATTTCTAGAGTCTTCTTGCCTCCAATCTTGGTGTTGCCCCTAGCAAAGTGTGCTTCATTGTTTCTCCAAATGAATGTATTGTGAATGATCCATTTTCCAACAAGTAGACCTGCCTTCCAGGCCCTCATCACTAGATTGCAAGCCACCTCAACACATTTGCCCGTGCCGTCTCAACACGCTTCCAACTCCGGCTTGGACTAAGTGTGACTCAAGGACAGTAGCATCAGCGTCACCTGGCACTTCATGGAAATGCACATTCTTGGATTCTTTTTCAGGCTCTGAATCTGGGGTGGCTCCCAGGAATGTGTATTTTAAAATCAAGCTTTGCAAGTGATTTTTATGCATGCTGAAGTTCAGAAACCACTTACTTAACTGCTTTTCTTGCATCTAGGCATGAATCATTCCCTCTATCCTTTAGAGAGCTGCCAGTGATTTTTTTTTTTTTTTTTTTGAGACAGGGTCTCACTCTGTTGCCCAGGCTGAATGCAGTGGTGCAATCACAGCTCACTGCAGCCTCAACCTCCCAGGTTCAAGCGATTTTCCTACCTCAGCCTCCTGAGTAGCTGGGACCACAGGTACATGCCATGATGTTTGGCTAATTTTTTGTAAAGATGGGGTTTTGCCATGTTTCCCAGTCTGTCTCAAATTCCTGGGCTCAAGCAACCCACCCACCTTGGCCTCCCAAAATGCTGGGATCACAGGCCTGAGCCGCTGCGCCCAATCTGCCAGTGATTTTTTGAAACACGCTTAGCCTCATGTTCTATAGGCTATAGCATACTTTCTCCCTAAGGAGACACTGTACCCTTGACATGCTTCTTTTCAGGAACCCACAACATTTTATTTGAGGGATTTGCTTACATGACCATTACACTCATTGGCATGGGCCCTTTGAGGAGTTGGTCTTCACCTATATAGCCCTAGTATGTAGCACCTCTGAAAACTATTGAATAAATTAAGGAAACTGCTAAGTCACGTCATTTTCTTGTGGCAAGAGGGGCTGCAAAATTTATTAATTAATCTGACATTCCTTTTTCTAAGATTTTTTGATGGTAGATTTTTCCCCAATTAAATCATATAGCTAGGAGTTGCGGGAAAAATGACAGGATCAGAGCCTGTTGTTGAAAGTCATCTACAAACATGCTGCTACTCTACTTAAGGAATCTACAATGAGATGGGTTATGCTAATTGTCCAAGCAGCCACCACTTTGCAAAGAAGCAACTGATGAGCAGAATGTTTATTTTGCAACTAAAAAAGATTAGGAAGATTTGTCCCCCTACCTTGAAATTTTGTTGAGAGCCCCAAATTAAAAATGTCATTGACAAGCATAGTGTCTTTCTTTCTTTCTCCCTTATGGAATCCAGAGTTAGAGGTTGCCCTCTCGATAGGCAGGGTGGGAGCTGACAAAATGAGGTCGTTTTAAGGCTACTAAAGATTCCATTTTGTGAGTGAACACATGGAGGCTTATGGAGTTTCAGTAATTTATCTAGAGTTCCACTGGTGGTGAGCAATGGGGCTGGGGTGGAACTCTGGTTTGCCTGATGTAAGAGGTAATGGTCTTTCCCTGCACACTGGCCTCTCAACAGAGAGTTCGCAAAGGCCTGAGCCTCAGCATCAGATCAGGTGCTTTAAAAAAATTTCTAGGTGCCACCATGGGCCTACCAAATTAGAATCTTGGAGGTACAGCCAGGGGAATTTGTATTTTTAAAAAATGTTTGGGGCTGGGTGTGGTGGCTCACGCCTGTAATCCCAGCACTTTGAGAGGCCAAGGTGGGTGGATCACCTGAGGTCAGGAGTTCGAGACTAGACTGACCAATATGGTGAAATCCCGTCTCTACTAAAAATATAAAAATTAGCCGGGTGTGGTAGTGAGCACCTGTAATCCCAGCTACTCAGGAGGCTGAGACAGGAGAATTGCCTGAACTCAGCAGGCGGAGGTTGCAGTGAGCTGAGATCATGCGACTGCACTCCAGCCTGGGTGACAAGAGTGAGACTCTGTCTCAAAAAAAAAAAAAAAAAAAGTTTGGTTATTTGTTGGTTTATTCTTTAAATTCTGATGCTTGTCCTTGTTTGGGAAATGTGGAAACAGGCAGCCCCATATTCAGAAGGACTTGAACCTGCCTCAGCCAACCTGGTAGGTATCACCACAAATTCAGTGGTTCTCAAGGGTGGTCCCCATACAGTGGCAGCAACATCATGTGGGAATTTGTTAAAAAAATGCAAATCCTGGTGCCCCACCCAGACTGCCTAAAGGGGATCTAGGGTGGTGCCTTACAATCTGTATTTTAATAGTCTTCCAGGTGATTCTAATGGTTGCTAAAATTTGAGGAACACCGATCTAATTGTTTACTGTATAAATGTACGTATTCCAGACACGGCCATTTCTAAGCTATTATCAGTTACTTGGAGCTCAGTGTAGATGAAGACTCTAAAGGAGGTGAGGAGAGACGCAGCAGCACCAGCAGCAGAGAGAGAAAGAGAGCGCGCGCTAGAGAGAGCGAGGTGAAAGGGGATGAGTGGGGTTAAGAAGGGAGGCAGGTAACTGAACAATCTACCAGACTTCCCAATTTTGCCTGAGGCCAGTCCCGCCTACCTTAGCTCCTGCCTTTCTTCTAAGAAGTAAATGTCAAAAGTAGTTTTCTTTGAAGGTGACATAGGTATTTAACACCTCAAACAGTTAGAACCCCACCAGACAGTTTTACGATGTGATAATTTACCTCTTACAAGTAAGTACACTTTGCCCAGGTAGAAACTGACTAGCTGAATCTGGGTTTCAGCAAGGAATTCTACTGAAACAATTTCTTCCTTTTTGAAGGCAAATCTGATTGAGTTTTTTTTAATTGGAAAATTATGTTCCTTTGGGCTCATTATATCACCAAAATATTAGGCTAATGATTGGTCTAAAAACCAGTGTCCAGGGATTTCTGTGGTTTAAAAAGATTAAATGAAGGACTGTAGTCTTACTTCTGCACAGTACAGAATGAACACATTTTTTTTCTTTATTTAAAAGTATTCAAATAAAACATTCATTTTTCTGCTTTTTAAAAAGTCAAAATTTTCAAATAACTTCCAATATGCACCAATTATGTGTTGGGGATACAAGGATAAACAAGGCAGGATTCTGATGCCCAAGGAGCTTCCAGTCCAGTGATAAACTTGTAGTCATGATTGACATGCACATATTCTATTCTCTGTCAGAAATCTCTTTGCCCAAGCTGTGTGCCTAGATATTAGTTACATAGTTGCCCATACAACTAGGTCTCTTACCCATAAGAATATCAAGTCAAGAGAATAACTATCAATTTGGGCATTTCAAACAGAGAGAGTTTAATTTAGTGTATTGATAACATAGGTATTAGAAGAACTGAGGAGGCAGACAGGACTATGGGGGCGCTCAGAGACTTGCAATGTGAGGAAGGGCTGAAGAGACACAGGGAAAGATGGTGTTACCAGATCCCAGAAGCTGGCTCCATTGGATGGTTCTGGAACCACAATGGGAACTGCTTGGTAGAAGCTGGAATCCTAGACAGATGTAGCTACTGCTGGAGGTGTCCATCAAAGTAGAGTGAGAAGGAGAGAATCTTTGGTTCCCCCTTTGTCTTGTGCTCCAGTCTTCTGTGAGCACCTCCCATTGAACAAATCTAAGTGGAAGCCAAGAGGACAAGCATTCTGGAAACCACCATCCCTGAGGTACAGACAGAGCAGGGGGAATGTGGAGAATGGATCTAAGGACAAAGTCCAAGGAAGGGCAAACTCTAGCTGTCCTCCTCTGAAGGAACTTCTGGTTCTTTCTTGGCTGGAGCAGGGTAAGAAAGATTCTGGAGAAGTCAGGACCACTCCCCGGGGAGGAATGTGGGGAGATGCAACCTCGTGGAAGGCAGCAGAGATAGATAGAGAAGTAAAAGCTGTGTGGAGGCATAAGGACCCCTGTCAGAACGAAGATTCTTGGATTCTCCACCAAACCCTACACTTAACCCAAATTATTTTATTTATTATTATTGTTATTTGCTTTTTTTCCTCTTGCAACAGTGGTCAATGTCTGCCTTCTACACTCAGTGAAAATCAGTCTAATGGCGAACCCACACAGATATCAATGTATCTACATTGATTTGCCTTTCAAGAACTTGGGAGGCTGAGGCAGGAGAATTGCTTGAACCCGGGAGGTAGAGGTTGCAGTGAGCTGAGATCACGCCACTGCACTCCAGCCTGGGCGACAGAGTGAGACTCTGTCTCAAAAAATAAATAAATAAATAAATAAATAAATAAATAAATAAATAAATAAAAGAACTCAGAGAAGAAATGCTTAGCTCAAAGAAAAAAAATTGCAGGCATCGTGACATTTAAGGCAAACAGATTTCGGGCAGGAGATTCCCCCTGGGACCCTCAGTGGGCTCCTGCCTCTCTACTTTAAAGAGTTTTCTGTATAGAGACCTGGTTCATCGTAATTTTACTAGGACCATTGCAAGTTGAATACAATAACCTCAGCTCAAGACAGTCCTTTTCCAGGGCCAGCGTTTAAAAAAACTTTAAAAAAAAAAAGATCCAATCCATTGTGGGCCCATACTTTGATAAAATATAATATATTATAAAAATTACTGGAAGAGTTTCATAGAAAGAGACATACAATACATAGGATCTCTTTTTTTTTTGATTAGATTCAACAGGCATATAGTGACTCTATCCAATGGTGGTGAAAATTTCCAAATTCTTATTCTTGGTCAGGTGCGGTGGCTCAAGCCTGTAATCCCAGCACTTTGGGAGGCTGAGGCTGGTGGATCATTTGAGGTCATGAGGTCGAGACCAGCCTGGCCAACACAGTGAAACCCCCGTCTCTGATAAAAATACAAAAATTAGCTGGGTGTGGTGGCGCATGCCTGTAGTCCCAGCTACTCGGGTGGCTGAAGCAGAAGAACTGTTTGAACCCAGGAGGTGGAGGTTGAAGTGAGCCGAGATTGCACCCCTGTACTGCAACCTGGGCGACAGAGTGAGACTCTGTCTGAAAAAAAGAATAATAATAATAAAAAAATTAATTCTTACTCTTGACTTTGTGCTTGCCTCCTTGTAGACCAGCCAGCCAGTTTCTGGACAGGTTCCGGTCTACTGTCCACACAAGCCTAGAAACACCATCCAAGATGGTCCTTATGATTGCAGGAGGCCACTCTGAAGGAAACTCATGTTTCCCCTTCCTGCCCTCTGTGGCCTGTGAGTTTTGGAAGTCATGGCCAAGACTGAACAAAAAGCAGGATCTGTGAGTCAGCAAGGACCTGGTGCAGAACAGATCTGAGGAGGACGCTTAGCAATAGCTGAGAAGTATTTCACCCATTCTGCCTTTATATTTATTTATTTTTGAGATGGAGTTTTGTTCCTGTTGCCCAGGCTGGAGTGCCGTGGTGCAGTCTTGGCTCACTGCAACCTCTGCCTCCCAGGTTCAAGCGATTCTCCTGCCTCAGCCTCTGGAGTAGCTGGAATTACAGACATGCACCACCACACCTGGCTAATTTTTATATTTTTAGTAGAGACGGGGTTTCACCATGTTGGCCGAGCTGGTCTCGAACTCCTGCCCTCAGGTGATCCACCCGCCTCGGCCTCCCAAAGTACTGGGATTACAGGCATGAGCCACCATGCCCGGCCCAATTCTGCCTTTTAAAGCATCTCTGTGCTTCTCACTCAGTGGAACGGGGTCTACATCTTTTCCAACTGCCTCGTTTTGTGTTCTTTTGATGCTGACAACTTGGAAAAGGCAGCAGACATATCTAAAAATGACAGTTATCTTCAGGGAAAGGAAAATGGCAAATATTAGACAAAAAAAGTATGAAGTAAATTTTTCACCCTGAAGGGCCAAAGAAATCATTAGAGTTATCTGACAGCCACAGTCTCCAGGCACATGACTTGCCCCCTGGCTATCTCATTGCTATTTATATGAGCTGGGATGTCTATCTTGCGGCCAGGGCTCAAATCAGGTGGGAGCTATAGGAACTTAGATATGGCCCAGAGTGAAAGAAACCAGGAAACCGTTATATCTGGCTTTCTAAAGTCCAGATTTCAAATTATTCATCTGGAGTTTATAATTAGCTATCTTCTCCCAACACACACACAGACACACACACACACACTCACACACACTTTTTTATTCTCTCCCTCAAAACGTCACATTGAGCAAATTAAAACTTTCGGAGTTAATAATTATTTCTCTTCTCCAAGATACTGCTATTATTTACAGAGTGAGTGGGTATTGAAATAAGGTGAAATAAAAATTGCTGCTCTTTTTCTAGGACAAAAATAATCAAGTAGACCATGAATTGGGAAATTCGAAAGCCCTCTTACTAACTCTCACACTTTTTTAAATCTACCAAATTCTGTGTTTAAAAAGTTGCCATGATTGAAGTGTTATTAGAGTAATAATAATTGAAGTTAAATACATACCTACAGAATGTACTGTCAAATGCAATTACATAGTGGTGCCGTGTTCCTCTCCGGTTGAGGAATAGGTTCTTTCTCCTGCCCTTTATTAAAGTTTAAAGGGAGTGCTGACTTGGTGCTAGGAAAAGGGGTGGGGAATGAGCTTTCTTGCAGCTGACCTTCAGGAGCGGCTGTGTTGCCTGCAGCACTGCTCTTAAACATGCCAGAATGCAGTAATGTCTGAGAAGGAATGTTAAAACCAAACCAAAAAACCCAAACCAAAAAACCCTCATCTCCAAATCAGCCCCCAAATTCATCTCCCAAGATCTGTTTTTGACGTGTCTTGATCATCATTCTCCTGGCAGCTAAAATCCTAAGCCACATGTCAGTGCGTTCATCAAAAAGAGGCTTGACTGTATTTTCTTCATATTGTTTCAGTGATAGATTCTAATCACCAGAACTTAAAAACCTGTTCCCACAATCTTTTGACAAGTCAAAATTTCTCCATTTCAGCCTTTAGCATGATAAAAAAAAATCAGAAACCTCCGTATGTATTGAAATTCTCACTGCTGCCGAGTATCCGCCTTTTCTCTGAAGATCATGTCTTCTTTTTGACTAGGTTGAAGACCTGAAAACTGTGACCCCTGTTGCCTAGCAACTGAGAAGCTCAGCCTCAACTCCGGGTGGGGGAGATGATGGAGAAAGGTCAGTGAAAGAGGCGGGCCTGTCCTTATCAATATGCCACTGTGGCAGCGACTTTTATTTCTTTAGAGTAATATATCATAATAAGTTTTGTAGGTCTTTATACTGTGGTTCTCCCTTTTGAATAAAAGCATAACTAAGACTTGAGGGGATGTCTGATATAACAGAAAATGTAACCATAAAAAAAAAACCCAGAATAGAAATGATCTGACTGCTGAGTACCCTGCCGAGCTGCCTGAGGCAGTTACACATTTCCATTGAGTTATTTTATGATCAGGCCAGTATGTTATTGAAATATTATCTCTTTAGCCTTTCTCATTCTGATAAGAAATGACAGGCTCTCAGAACAGCAATACATACAGAGTACAAAATATGGAGCTGTGGACAAAATTCAGTCGGGGTGAAGAACATTGGCTTTGGAGAATTTCCATGAAAACCAATTATCCTTGGGTTGTATTTTCAAATAGGGCATGGTACACACTCTAATGTCCACTTTAATTGTGATGAGAATTTGCAGCCTCCGTCGATGATTACATTTAGCCCAATTACTGAACAACATTCAAGAAAGATTGCATTGTTTTTAGTAACCTCACTTAAGATGCAATTTCTTTAGCAAATAATGAAATGCTGTAATGTTTCAGAAGCACAGGTAAGAGTTGCAATCTGGATTTGAAGGGTCACTCAGGAAAAAAGGGGAAGGAGATGAAACAAAGAATGTAACATTTCAAGTTAAGTCTTCTGAAAGTGGTCTGATTTAGAACTATTTTGGAAACGACACGCAATATATACAGCTTTGTTAGCTTATTTATCAACATATCGCTGGAGGATCCTGATCTTATTATTGTCTACTCCTTGCTTCTTTATTGTTACTTAATATGTAAGCCATTTCACATAAATAAAATCGATATGTATATATTTATAGATACGTAAGGGAGACACATGGTGTCTCGGGCTGGGTGTCAGGAAACCTGCGATTTATTCTCCAATCTGCATGTGACTAGCTGTGTAACCTTTGGGCAAGCTACAACTTCTCAGGGTCTCAGCATTATCCCCTGTAGAATGAAGAACTTGAACTACATAATTTCCGCCATCGTTCCCTATGATTCTTTTCACTCCCTATCAGCTACATTTTTCCCTCGGTTCTTTCTTCTGTTGCCCAGATATAGATAATCACATTTCTTCTTATGCAAAGTTTGATATCCATGTGATTTTGTATAATCGCCACTTTGTGTGTCTTTGAGACTTTTTGACCTTCTGACAAGTGACTTGTAAGAGGATATAAATTTAGGTGTTCCCAATTATTAGCATTGTTTTCCGTTTTTATAAATTGACCTTCCACAAATCTGAAGTTAGCGTTTTCTTCTGTTCAGCCCAGTCTCCGTGAACTTACGGGATTCATGACTGTTTTGCTTTTCTCCTCCCTTCTTCTTCTTTTTTTTTTAGATAGCATTAATGTAGAAGCAGATGCTGTCTCTCTCTTCACAAATGCTGCACAGTGAATCATCGTAGCCTCTCTGTAAAACTTTAACTTAATGGAGTCCTGGCATTTCTGATGAGACGAGGAACTTAATTTCATAGAACAACCTATTGGACAAGCTGTTCTTGGACATTCCCGTCTCAACTAAATGTTAAAAGTATTAAAATTCACATTAGCACCAGAGGAAATTTTGCATGGGTAATCCTTTAATACAGTGTTTTATGGCTCTATTAGCTGCACAGCAGCTGGTGACATGATGAATTTAATCCATTAAAAAATTCACTAAGAGGTTTGAAAGTCAGCTTTTTAAAACATTATGTTGCTGCAAGGAAAGAGAACTTCTCCTCGGGGCCAGAAACAGGGTGGCTTCACACTGAGGCAGGTACAGGAAACACACCTGCACGCAAAACTTTCACATGCTTGGATGTTTGCACTTAGAGGAGAGCTAGAATGATAGGTGAGAATTCAGGACACAGGCTGAGAAGGGGCTGACACAGTGCAACAATTCTGACTCAATCTCCTACTTGTTTCTTGCTTTTAAGAGAAGGTTTAATATAGATATTAAATGATGGTGTTATTTTTGAACGTGCTAACATGTTTTCTTGTGCTGATGTATGTCTTCGTGTAAAATCAGAAATGCTTCAAGCCTTTAATTAGAGACCTAATTATTTATCTTGAGAGAATTTAAGTAAGAAAATGTTTTCCACCCTTGATATAAGTAAGCTTCTTTGCAAAGTTAACTGTGTGGAAAGGTTTTGGCCTGAGGAATTTGAGGTCTTACTTCAAAGAAATGCTGTAGATTTGAATGTCTATAGGGCATTGGAATGGATCCTGGGCACAGGATGTCTAAGTTGCACCTTGGATGGCTTAGTGAGTAAGGACCAGTCCAGGAATAGACTAATGGTTTTAACCAGTAGGCTTTGAATTCTTACACTGATCTTTCCAAATAAGACTGTCTCAAAAAAAAAAAAAATGTACCTTGTCCAGCCCTAACAGATTTTGCAAGCTGCTAGGTAGGATTATTGTTCTCAAAGTCATGAGTTTGGTAAAAGGAGAATTAGTTTGTAACGAATATGTATTTCTGAGCAGAGGCAGTAACAGGTCACCTTGGATCAAATTGCCCAACATCCACAAATGAGTTTGTCACTGTATTCAACCCTCATGAGTGAAAAAATAGGCAGCTTAACTTAGCAGTGGTTTTTACCTAAACAACTCATTTATGTAATTCCCATGTTCATGTGAAGTCACTTATGTTATATCCTCACTTAGCATAACTTGATGTAGAAGGGGAATTGCTATTTCTTGTGGTGCAGCTATTATGGATCGTA